>NC_000010.11:87112792-87264307 GCF_000001405.40 Homo sapiens | reverse complement strand
AAGTGAATTAACACAGAAATGGAAAATCAAATACTGCATGTTCTCACTTATAAGTGGGAGCTAAACATTGGGTACACATGGACATAAAGATGGGAAAAATAGATCCTGGCAAATACTAGAGGGAGGAGAGAAGAAGGGGACAAGGGTTGAAAAACCAACTATTGTGTATTTTTCTCACTACCTGGGTAACGGACTCAACTTCATGAAACATACCCATGTAATAAACCTGCACATGTACCCACTGATTCTAAAATAAAAGTTGAAACTATACATATTTTTTAAAGAAGCTACCTCAGTACTCTTTGTGAAAGGTGACAAGGCAGTGGAAATGGAATGGTAAGGCGATCAGGAATTCAAAAGACATTTTAAAAGTGTAATCCTCTTGAAACAGAATGAAGAAGAAGACAAGAGGATTGGATACACATACAGGTTGCAAAGAGGGTCTGTAGCACCTCTCTCTTTTGAAATGTATATTTACACTACTGTATACCTAGGGAATGTTTCAGAGAAGAAAGATGGGGAATACAATAAATTGACTAATTACTTGAGATTTTCTCTAGTTTTATCTGGTTTAAAAACAGTATTATAAATATATCCTAATTCAGAGGAAGTAATCAATGACGAATTATCCTATATTCTATCTCTTCTGTATGAGACCATTCCAATATTTCTACTCTGGAGGACGCTAATAGGCTCACCCTGGAATGCCCAACTTCCTCTATACTGACTTACAACTTTGTTCAAATCCCAAGATACATCTATGTAAATAATGCAATCAACTCTTCACATATGCAGAATGAGCTTGGCCTTTAGCAAGATGTAACAACTTAACATTATAGGATGCTCCTATAACTCCGTCATTCATTCTTCCTAAATCAATGTCTTCCATCCTCTGAGTCCTTTCTCTTTAATTCTATTTTTGTTATTTTTCTTTGCCTTAGGTGTCACTCACTTTTATGGTAAACACTTTAGGTAATATTTTTCATGAAGGATGGATTATGAAAATAAATGATACATTGTAAGCCATTGACATGTTATACCATTGGGATAAATGATGGTAGGTAATTTTAGAGTTTCAATTTGATAAAAGGGGCTTCGCCAAATGATAAGGCTTAGCATTAAGGTATTTCAAATTGTTATATATTCAGATTTAATTTTATGAAAGTTAAGATCATGTAATATGCCTCAACCACATAAATTGATAAATTACCTTCATCTCCAGTCAACCATTTACACCATTTTCCAAGAGATGAGTTTTAATGTAATGTGAGGCAGCTTTATTCTCTGAGTCATCTGTAGTACTTCTTGTTACTACAGCCAAAGACCTCATCAGCATTTTCATTTTCATTATAAATTCCAAACCATCAATAAAAATTAAAAACTCAACACCAGTTTATGAAACAAGGGGGAGAAGAGAAAAATATGTATATTTTCTTGCATATTTTGGGATCGTGTATAAGAGAAAATGATTTTTTCTGCAAAGACAAGATTGAATTGGGCATTCTGAATACATGTTGTTGAGATAAGCCAAATATTTGGTCCTAGAAGCTGAGAGGATATGATACTGAATGATTATTTAGCACTAAAGGTTTATCTTCAAAGAGGTCTTGAAATAAGAATATGTAATTAGGCTGGGCACAGTGGCTCACAACTGTAGTCCTAGCACTTTTGGAGGCCAAGGCAGGTGGATCACTTGAGCTCAGGAGTTGAAGACCAGACTGGGCAATATGGCAAAACCTTGTATTTTTGTAGAAAAAGTATAAAAATTAGCCAGGTATGGTGGTGTGTGCCTGTAGTCCCAGCTACTCAGAAAGCTGAGGTGGAAAAATTACCTGAGCCTAGTGGGGTCAAGGCTGCAGTGAGCTGTGATCAGGCCACCGCACTCCAGCCTGGGTAACAGAAAGAGTAAGACAAAGAAAAGGAAAAGGAAAAGGAAAGGAAGGAAGAAGAATATATAATTAGTTTCTACTTGAGTCTTACCGGAATGCATTTTACTGAATTTCACTTATGCAAACATACACTGGCTTACAAAAATGTATGCAACATCTTTATGAGGCAGATACTTTGTTATGAAACACAAGAGGCAAACAATGTAGAAGATTCCTCTTTCTGTTAAGTTTATAGTCCAGAGGAGAAGAAATACATTACATATACAACCTCTAATTCATTCATTTATTCTTTTCTTTTCTTTTCTAGTTGTTGAGACAGAGACTTGCTCTGTTACCCAGGCTGGAGTACAGTGGTGCAATCATGGCTCACTGCAGCCTCCACCTCCTGGGCTCAAACAGTCCTCCCACTTCAGCCTCCTGAGTAGCTGGGACCACAGTCATGCACCACCACACATGGCCAATTATTTTATTTTTTGTAGAGATGGGATCTCACTATGTTGTCCAGGCTGGCCTTGAACTCCTGGATTGAAGCGATCCTCCCGCCTTGGCCTCCCAAAGTGTCAATTACAAGTGTGAGCCACTGCACCCGCCCCTCATTCACTTATTTATTGACAAATGTTTACTGAGGTATTATCATATGTCAGGCATTTTTCTAGGCATTGGGAATATAGCAGTGTATAAACCTGATACTCACTGCCTTGATGGAGCGTAACTTCTGATTGTGGTAAGTACTGCAGAAGAAAATGCAGGCTGCTACAGGAACCCCTTCAACATAAAGAACGGTATGAAAATATTGTACAAAAATATGATTCAAAAATCCTAAATGAAATTCACATTATCATTTACATGTAAGGGCAGAAGAAAATTTTTGAATATGCATGCATTTATAAATATATCCCCATGTACTCTTTTGCAGAAAACTAAAAGAACATAGAACTAGAATTTACACATCAAAATAGAAAAAGATGACCTGAAGATAAAAGAGATGATAGGATTTTTTTTTTTTTTTTTTTTTTTTTGAGGCAGAGTCTCGCTCTGTCACCCAGGCTTGAGTGCAATGGTGGGATCTTGGCTTATGGCTCACTGCAACCTCTGCTTCCCGGGTTCAAGCAATTCTCCTGCCTCAGCCTCCCAAGTAGCTGGGATTACAGGCATCTGCCACCATGCCTGGCTAATTTTTTGTATTTTTAGTAGAGACGGGGTTTCACCATGTTGACCAGGCTGGTCTTGAACTCCTGACCTCAGGTGATCCACCCGCTTTGGCCTCCCAAAATGCTGGGATTACAGGTGTGAGCCTCCACGCGCAGCCAATGGTAGGAATCTATTTATAGAGGATATGTTGAGAACAAAAGCAACCTGAAGCCACACAGCTTAAAAAGATTAGGAACTGTTTGGTTGGGCATGGTGGCTCATACCTGTAATCCTAGCACTTTGGGAGGCCAAGGCAGGAAGATTACTTGAGACCAGGAGTTCAAAACCAGTCTTGCCAACATAACAAGAATCTGTCTCTATATAAGAAGATTAAAAATTAGCTGGGCATGGTGGCATGTGCTTGTAGCCCTAGCTACTTGGGAGGCTGCGGTGGAAGGATCACTTGGGCCCAGGCATTCCAGCTTATGATTTCAGTGAGTTATGATCACAACACTGAATTCCAACCTAATGGATGGAGAGAGACTATGTCTCTAAAAATAAAAAATAAAGAGATTAGGAACTGTCTGCACTAAGATGACTTTACTATTCCAAGAAATCCTTGCCTAAGAAAGTAAAGTTGAAATTACTTTTTTGTCCTGGAAACTTTCCGATCTATGTATCTGTACTCATACAGCCTCATCGGGCTAAACAGCCTTCTTTTCAGAACAGTAGATCACTCAACTGGGTTTTCAAGTGACTGTTTACCTTTCAAGGCTGGCTTTATAGGTCTTGCCTCACTGTATCCAGCAATCCAAACTTTACCCTATCCCAGTCAGGACTGCACACCTCATGTTGAAAGACATACCTTAGAACCAGACTCCCCAAAGCTTACCAATATCCCACCCTTGACTCCCTTTTCTGAGGCTACTAAGATTATGTGAAGACAGTCATCTTCCTTACTGCAGTGAGCAATAAACTTGGTTTTTGTTCATCAGTAAACCATTTTGGTGGTTTCTGGAGGAGCCAGCAGTTGGCAATGGTTATAAATCTAAATCTAAAAGCCATTTATAAAAGACTGATGAATCTAGTAACATAAAAATAAACTGCATGATAAATATCATAAACAAAGTCAAAAGACAACTGACAACCAGGTTAAAAACATGCTTTCAACATATATTACAGGAAAAGGGCTAATATTCCTAATATGTAAATAATTGTTAGAAATTAAGAGATCAAGCACCAAGCACCCATTAGAAAAAATGGGAAAAGGGCATCAATAGACAATTCACACACACACACAGAGACACACAAATGGCTTTAACAACTCTATAGAAACAGAAAGTAGGTCATATCTTTGTTCTGTGAAAAGGCTGTGCACACAAAGCTATTCCCAAATGCTGAAGAAGCCCAGAAACCAAAGAAGGAAGTGAACAAATCCAGTTCGTCAGTAATGGGTGATTTACTGAGGAACTTATGGACAGAAGTGTGATCTTGGATGACTGCAAGACAGGTAGATCTCCACACTGTTATTTCCCAGACCCAAGGTTTGGGTACCGTATGGAAAGGGTACACATGCTCCAGCAAAAACGATTAAAGGCAACCCTCCAGAACAGGCGAAAATGCTATGTGTGTCCTAGCCTATAATTTGTGTGATAACATCAGGGTTGTTTTGATCTTATACTAGGGACAGTAAATAAAGTAGAAACCAGAAGTTATTCATGGGACTGGGTCTAATCAGAAGTCAACATGGTGGATTAGCATCCAAGATGGGGTGGTTTTTGTCTCCACAACCTTAACAAGGCTGTTGAAAAAGTGATCCGTAAATATACATATAATCACTTTTCAAAGTCAAGAAACAATAGATGCTGGCGAGGCTGTGGAGAAAAAGGAATGCTTTTACACTGTTGGTGGGAATGTAAATTAGTACAAGCATTGTGGAAGACAGTGTGGTGATTCCTCAAGGATCTAGAACCAGAAATACCATTTGACCCAGCAATCCCATTACTGTGTATATACCAAAAGGAATATAAATCATTCTATTATAAAGATACATGCATGTGTATGTTTACTGCAGCACTATTCACAGGAGCAAGGACATGGAATCAACCCAAATGTCCATCAATGGTAGACTGGATAAAGAAAATGTGGTACATATACACCATGGAATATTATGCAACCATAAAAAGGAATGAGATCGTGTCCTTTGCAGGGACACAGATGAAGCTGGAAGCCATCATCCTCAGCAAAGTAACACAGGAACAGAAAACCAAGCACCTCATGTTTCTCACTCATAAGTGTGAGCTGAACATTGAGAACACATGGACACAGGGAGGGAAATAACACACACTCGGGCCTGTCAGCGGGTTGGGAAGAGGGAGAGCATCAGGATAAATAGCTAATGCATGCAGGGCTTGATACCTAGGTGATGGGTTAGTAGGTGCAGCAAACCACCGTGGCACACATTTACCTACGTAATAAACCTGCATGTCCTGCACATGTACCCCAGAACTTAAAATACAATTTTTTAAAAAGAAAAATACATATATATACCTGTAAAGTGCAAATTCATAACTAGAAAAATGCAGATTAAAAAAATGCTAAGCTATTATTTCTCACCTATCAGATGGGTAAAAATTAAAATAAAATTTTAACTAATAAAATGTAATAAATTAAAATATGACAACACATTTTGTTAGCCAGATCTTAGGAAAATAATCACTCTTTTCATTGCTGTTAAGGAATACAAACTGCTACAACCCTTCTCAATGGAAACTTGGCAATACCTAATATAACTACATAAGGAGCCCTATAATCTCACTTATAAAATCTACCCTGAAGATACATATCCAACAATATGAAAAACATATGTACAAGTTTATTCATTGTAAGATTATATATAATTGCTAAATTTAAGAAACAAATTAAATACTCATATATAGAACAGTGGTTTTTAAATAAACTCTAACAATTCACACAAGAGAGCACTATGCAGCTATAAAATAAATGAGGAAGAGCTCTATGGATTCATATTCAGAGATTTCCAAGGTATATTCTTATGTGGAAAGCAAAGTACAGAAGAATATCTAGAGTATACTACTCTTCATGTAAGAAAGAAGTATATATAAGAAAATATACATATATCCACATATATGAGGAAAAACATACTGGAAAGTTAAACTAGAAACAAATGAGATTCGTCACCTACAGAGGTTAAGTAGGATCAGCGTGGAAAAATTGGGGAATAAAAATGGGTAGAAATGATTAGAGAGATGTGACACACTCAGAGTATTCCTATATGCATAGCTCTAATTCCTATAAATATGGTAATGTTTCACCCCCCCCCAAAAAAATAAATAATTAAAATTAACCAGGATGTTGGGGAAGGGAAGACCCAAAATGGAATATAAGCAGTAACAAATAAGCCCAACTGTATTACAAATAAATGACATAATTATACTAAATGGGATAAAAAATAAAAGAATTATCTAACATAACCTGGAGAACATTATTTTAACCATATACTAGAAGGCTAAAAACAGAAAGAACTGTATGAAAATATTGTACTTTAGTAAATTTGTTTTTCATAGGGTATGGGTTAGTATTTCTGAAACTACTTTATGTATATACTAGGATTGAGTAATTAAGAAATACACTGTGGATATTGAGAGCCAGTTTTCTGTCAGATAAAAGAGTTAAAATAGAGAAATTGTGAAGTAGCACAAACTCCAGATTGAAATCAGAGCAGGAATATCAGTGTGAACTCATGGATATACATGCAGTGAGATCCCAGTAGCAATGAGCACAACTAGTTTCCAGATCTTGGTTTCTAAATACCATTCTCGATGAAAGGAACCAGAGCTCCCTGGGGAAATGACTGAGTCCAGACTAGAGCAGGAGGAATGCAAGATGAGCTTAGACCATTTAAAGTGCCAGAAAGTAAAGACATGTTCACAAAATAATGGGGGCCAAGTCTACAAGACATCGGAGCCAACTTAAAGGAGCTACTAATGCCCAAATCTGGACAATTTGAACAACATGATCAACTGTGTGAAAGGCAAGTACAGAAGTGTATCTAGAATATATTACTCTTCATGGGGTTGTTTTACAGTTAACTTTTTTTTAATAAGTAGAAGGAGTACACTCTAGAATAATGATAAAAAGTATAGTATAGTAAATACATAAACCAGTAACATAGTCACTTATTATCATTAAGTATTATGTACTGTACATAATTGTATGTGCCATACTTTTACATAGCTGACAGTGCAGTAGGTTTGTCTGCATCGCATCACTATAATCCTGTGAGCAATACGCTGTGTTACCAGGTTATGAAAGCTACCATGTCACTACATGATAGGAAATTTTCAGTTCAATTATAATCTTATGGGACCATCCACTATCATACATGTGGCCTGCCATTGACCTAAATGTAATTATGAGGTGCATGACTATATATAAATATACATATGTTGGACATTCTGATAGGAAAATGCCTGGATATATAAGAAACAATGCTTTTACCTCTGAAAATCTGAATAAGGGAGGCTAGAGAGATAGAAAGACTTTTACTCTTCATATAATAATCTTTTTAAAAAATAATAAACTTTTAAAAATACTGTCAATATTATCCTAGGAAGCATAGTTTTATTTCTGTTTTCATTAATTAATTTGGACCCAGCATTGATGAAGTAAAGTTTAACTTTTATTTTAGTTTTTCTCGATTGTTGAATGAACATTCTTTCTCCCAGTTTCCAATTATGTTATCTACATTGAATCACTGCTTGACTCCATTTCCATATTTGTAGTGTTAGTCCCTGGTAAGACAATAAACTTCCTTATAAGCAAATTTAGAAGCAATTATTTAATTCAAGCTTGCACAATTTTCTCGAGTCCAGCACGAGTTGTTGCCACATCTAACAATAGCAAAGTAAAGGTTGCAATGCTTACTAGTGATGATTTCTTGAGGAAGAAAAATAAGTCTTACTTAACAATAGAAACCTTTTTTGTCTTGCTGCCCAAGTCACCAATTTTATATAGGGGAAGTAGTTAAAATTAACTAATTATGACAATTCCAGGGTAAATTAATTTCTTAGAAATGTTTCAGAGAATAATACTTTCTGCCTCAAAAGTATGCATTTATTATGTATCAAATAAAATTTTAAATTTAGAGAACATTGAAGAAATATGAGATCAGAGAAATCAAAGATTATTATTAAATTACATTTCTTTTGGTATCTCCTGAGATTTCTCAATTATGCATTACTTGTATTCATTCATTTATTCATCAAATACAATATTTATCTAAAACCTGCTATGACCAAGACTGGGTGAGGAACTGGAGACATAGCTATTAAAAAAATAGTATTTATATTTATAAGTGATGAAACAAAAAGAAAAAATAGAAGGTGAATCGGTAGGTAAAAAGAGACAATAGACTACCAGCCAATCTCAATGTGTGAACCTTGTTTGTATCCTGATTCAAGAAAAGACATTAAAAAGATTGTCTGAAAGAGATAATTAAAAATCTGAATTCTGCCTGGATAGTTGATGATATTAAAGAGGTATATTATTCATTCTTAGGTGTAATAATGACATTGTGGTTATGTTACAAAAAGGAGTCATTTCAGAAACAGACTGAAATATTTACAAATAAAATCATGTGTTGTCTGGGACTTACTTCAAAATAATGTGTGAGTGTAGGGAATGGGCAGGGTTGCAGTAGGGACAGGATTGGCCATGGGTTGATGGTTACTGAGGCTGAGCGATGGCATGTGAGGTTTTATTATTTTATTGTTTACTTTCATCTATTTTCAAAAAGTTAAAAAATCAGCCCTCCCTTTGCTGAAAAAAGAAAAAAAGAAAAGAAAAACTACAGGTTTTGTCCCTGCCTCCTGGAGCTTTCAGTTGTAGAGAGAAAGCAACACTTACTGAGAAACTAAAAGATGATGTGTGTTGTAAAATGAGAGTGCAGGGTGACATTGCAATTGAGCAAGCTATCTTGAGGTAGAGAGAGAAGGTAGTCAAAGATTTTGTTGACAGTTTAGTTAGAACTAAAATTGATAGCGCCATTGTACTCCAGTCTGTCACAGACTGAGATATTATCTCTTAAAAAAAAAATGGCCGGGCTTACTTTGGGAGGCCGAGGCAGGTGGATCACCTGAGCCCAGGAGTTCAAGATCAGCCTGACCAGCACAGTGAAACTCCATCTCTACTAAAAATAGAAAAAATTAGATGGGCGTGGCGGCACACACTTGTAATCCCAACTATTCGGCAGGCTGAGGCACGAGAATCGTTTGAATCTGGGAGGTGGTTGTTGCAGTGAGCCGAGATCGTACCACTGCACTCTAGTCTGGGCGACAGAGCAAGAATCTGTCTCAAAAAAAAAAAAAAAAAAAAAGCCTATAAACTAAAATTGAGAGATGGGTGGACTTGTGTGGGAGAGAGAAGATAGGGGCATATGCCAGACAGAAAGCAGCATGTTCAAAGGTCTGAAGCATATGTACATGTATGCAGTTTACATCCTATATAAGTCAAAATTGGATGTAAAGTTTAAAAGTTAGCTGAATATTTTGTTTACATATGTCATAGCGTTTATCTGAAGCTGAGCAGGATATATCCACATTATTCTTTGCCATGTCATCTCCAATTACATGCAAGTAAATTCAACAAGATTTGTTCTCTGTATGAGGGACGTAAAGTTGAATAACTCATGGTCACTTAAGAACCTTACAGTCCAATGGTAGAGACAGATATATTTGTCTATACCTTAGCAAAGTAAAACATGAAAAGATCTGTACTAATGGAATGAGCTGGATACTGTGAGTGTATTTAGGAGGAGTGATTAGTTACGCCTTATTAGAACAACAAAAGGCTCAGAGAGGAGCATGCCACTAGAGCTGGGTTTTAAAAGTTAAGTAGGACTTGATTAGGTAGAGAAGGGGAAAGAGAGGCCATTCTAAGCAGAAGGAACAACGTGAGCACAGACTCAGACTCAAAAGTACATATTGTATCCAAGGACCTGCAGGTAAATGATGTGGTTAGAACACAGGCTTAAAATAAAATTAAAAATGGCCTGGCGCGGTGGCTCACGCCTCCAGAACTTTGGGAGGCCGAGGTGGGCAGATCACAAGGTCAGGAGTTCAAGACCAGCCTGGCCAACACGGTGGCCAATATGGTGAAACCCTGTCTCTACTAAAAATACAAAAATTAGCCGGGCATGGTGGCACGTGCCTGTAGTCCCAGCTACTCGGGAGGCTGAGGCAGGAGAATCGCTTGAACCTAGGAGGTGGAGGTTTCGGTGAGCCGAGATCGCGCCACTGCACTCCAGCCTGGGCAACAGAGCGAGACTTCGTCTAAATAAATAAATGAATAAATAAATAAATACAATTTAAAACATCTGTTCAGTGCTGTGATAAGATGTCATTTGCATGTTTATATTTTTCTTTTTTTTTTTTTTGAGACAGAGTCTCGCTCTGTCGCCCAGGCTGGAGTGCAGTGGCGCGATCTCGGCTCACTGCAAACTCCGCCTCCAAGGTTCACGCCATTCTCCTGCCTCAGGCTCCCGAGTAGCTGGGACTACAGGCGCCCACCACCATGCCCAGCTAATTTTTTTGTATTTTTTTAGTAGAGACGGGGTTTCACCGTGTTAGCCAGGATGGTCTCCATCCCCTGAACTCGTGATCCGCCCACCTCGGCCTCCCAAAGTTCTGAGATTACAGGCATGAGCCACCGCGCCCGGCCATGTTTATATTTTCCAAATGCTTCGCAAAGAAATAAATGCTTCCTGGCTTCCATCACAGGCATTGCAGGAAAGGAATTGTCTAACTAGATGACTACAGATAATACAAAGCAGTGAATAAAAATAGAAGGCAGTTCAGAATATGTTTCAGCTCTCGATTCTCTAAGAAATTGATGACAAGTACAACTGAGTTAACATCAAAGCATCAAACCAAGCTTTTCATAAGTGAATTCAGCCATCTTCATGGTGCCTGGGCTTCCTTGCTGGCTCCTGTCCTCCTGTTCACCTCTGGATTTGGTAGTTCCTTTAGACTTGGTCCTGATCCTTTTTCTCTTCTCATGTTACTTTTTTTTCCATGGCTTTGAATATATACTTATGACTCCATATTTAGCACCAACTCAATCCTCTCTTCTCAACCTCAGATCCAAATACCCAAATGCTTTCAAGGCATTCTTACTTAAATGTCGCACAAATGTAAGATGTCTACAGCTGTACTTGTTCTTTTCCATCAATCCTGCCTCACCTCCAGTCTTCCACATCCTAATGATGCCACCTTCTACTCGGATATTCAAGCCAGAACCTGGATATTATCCCTGACTCCATCTCCCTCATGTTACACATTCAAACTCTCACTAAGACCATTTGGTTCTACCTAAAATTTTGTCTTGAATCTCTCCATTTCTGCCTTCTTTACTGCTGCCACCCTAGTATAAACTATCATCCTCTCTTGCAACAACTTTCCAAACGGTCATCTACCTTCCACTATTGCCTATGACAATGCATTCTCTATCTTAGAAGATGAAGATTCGGTAATTCCCCTGATTAGAATCCTTTAGTGACTTCCCTCTACTCTTTGATGAAATGCAAAATCCTAACTAAGGCTAGCAGCTTCCTGAAAGATCTGCCCCTATCTCTCCATCATTTCAAATCATTTGTTGCCTGTGTCATTGTCCTGTTGGTTTTTAGGGTCTTAAATGTGTCCAGAACCAGCTCACAACCTTCATGCTTGTTTTTTTGTTCTTTCCAGAAAGTTATTTTCCCCTGTCTCTTGGTTGGTCCTCTCTTTTTAGGGAAAGCTTTTGCTAGGACTTAGAAAGTAAAAATCTGTTCCATCACTCATCAAGCTGGATTAATAAACATTGATAAAACTAGCTGCAAAGTTTACGGGAAACTAGTTATCCCAAAGACATGCGATAAAGCTTCATAACAACCCCATTCTTTGAGTGATTACTGTTTTCTTACTTGCTAAGAAACTTTGTTCTTTGAAATTATATTATTATAACATAAAACATCATAGTGTCTTGGAGACTCTAAAACACTTTGACACAGAGAATCAGCCTCCATTTCCATTCCAGCCACAGAGCTTAAGAAAAGGGCTTCTGGACACAATAATCCATATCTGTCTTAACTTTCTAGTTTTCAAGGAAGCAGACCCCTGGATCCTGCCCAGACCTGATGTTGACTCCTGATTTGCTTTGAGTTCATCAAAAGCCACTTAAATGGTTTCATTTAAATCTCACCCAAACTCTACTCTTCCCCCAAATCCTGTAATGATTATCTTGTCCTTGTTTGGTGAGTGAGATGCCTCACAGTTCTGTGTGTGATCTCCCTCACTGCAATGAATCTATAAATATGACTTTGTCGAACTCTAAGTTGTTTCCTTGCGCTTGTAGACTGATTGAGGTAGGACATGTGACTCTTCTTCAAAAAGTCTTCTCTAAAGTTCCCACGACAAAATAGGTCCTCCTAATTCGTTGTATCATCAGCACCTTCTACTTTTCTTTCATAGTGTATTATATCCTTCAAGACCCCAAAGGAATTCGATACTTAAGTCAAAATATTTGGTTAAAAATATTAATCAGTTATGTCTGCTCCACTTTGTCGGTAACGGGGTAAAGTGGAAAACAATCCAAATGTCCAATACTTAAAGTTTGAAGCAGGTTAAATATTCCTTACCTCCCATACTACATCTCATGATGTTTGCATGGTGCATAAAAGTTTTGTAAGCCTGTAGTAATTTGAAAGATTAATTTTTGACCAATTTGAAAAAGTTTTTAAGCAAGTTGAAGAACCTTGACAAACAAGCAAAGCGGGACTGATTAACTGAATTAGAAAGAAAAAAAACCTGAAATGGTAAAAAAAAAAAATTATTTAACACATTCTTTTTATTGTTTAGTTTCTTATGTGTATTTTTATGTATTTATTATGGTATTAAACCAAGGAATATCTTATGACAGGAAAGCAAAAACAATACAAAGGACACAATAATTCCACCTATCTACAAGTAGTAGAACTTAACATCTTTCTTTCCTTAACACATTATCTCCCACTGAACACAACAATTTTTTTTTATTTTTTTATTTTACTTTTTATTTTATTTTATTTTTTTTTGAGACGGAGTCTCGCTTTGTTGCCCAGGCTGGAGTGCAGTGGCGCCATCTCAGCTCACTGCAAGCTCCACCTCCCGGGTTCATGCCATTCTCCTGCCTCAGCCTCCCAAGTAGCTGGGACTGCAGGTGCCTGCCACCACGCCCAGCTAGTTTTTTGTATTTTTAGTAGAGATGGAGTTTCACCGTGTTAGCCAGGATGGTCTCGATCTCCTGACCTTGTGATCTGTGCGCCTCAGCCTCCCAAAGTGCTGGGATTACAGGCATGAGCCACCGTGCCCAGCCCAACCATTTTTTATTTTAAACAGTCTTGTCATTGAAGCTTTAATATTATTAATTTCTAAGCTCCAAAACCTGAGGGAGGAAAGGGAAGGCTGAAGTCTCAAGAAAGAGCAAAGTAGTGAGATGACTGAGATGCAACTTCCTACCTCACAAGTTTGTCTTGGGTTAATTCTAAGGCCTAAAAACTACCAAGTATCCACTCAGTAAATAGCTGTTGAATAAATGAATGAACAGATGTCTCAATAAGCAAAATTGGTTTAATATGTCTATTTAGTGTTCAATTTCTCATAAGGATGTTATTTCCATGTTTAGGATAAAAATTCAAAATAGAGTTTTCAGCTCCTTACATTAGCTAAGGTGGGTGTACATTTATCTCCTGCCTGGTACCTTTCCTTTCCGACAAGTTTCTAGTCTGCTGTATTACACTATCTAAAACAGCCACTCTGAGCTGACTAGCACCTTATCACTTTAGACTTTCCTCACCTCCTCTGGCCCGGCACATCTAATATTTTGTTTAATCCTAAGTACTCCAGTTATTGCTCATGTCAAGAACAGACACATTATCACTGGAATTCAGGCTGAGGAAGAAACTCCAATGAAGCCTTCAGTCTCAACATTAAGAATCAAGGAAGGCCTTTATTTATTTATTTTTCAAATACCAGCCATCCTTCATCTGCACCCCAAATCATCAAATGTTTTTATCAACTCTCTGTAAAAATTTTGAATTTCTTAAAAAACTGAAACAGAGATGATAAATACAAGTAGCCAGTTTTAAGTACCACTGCTTCTTACTTCAAAGAATTTCCTCTAGATTTGCTATTGTTTGCAAAATATATAGCGGTGGCTTACGCCTGTAATCCCAACACTTTGGGAGGCCAAGGTGGGTGGATCACGAGGTCAGGAGATCGAAGCCATCCTGGCTAACACAGTGAAACCCCGTCTCTACTAAAAATACAAAAAATTAGCTGGGCGTGGTGGCACGTGCCTGTAGTCCCAGCTACTCGGGCGGCTGAGGCAGGAGAATCACTTGAACCTGGGAGGCAAAGGTTGCAGTGAGCCAAGATCGTGCCACTTCACTGCAGCCTGGGCGACAGAGTGAGACTCCATCTCAAAAAATAAATAAATAAAATAAATATATATAAAACATATATTAAATATTCCAGTTACAAAAATAACAATTACCAAAAACTCCAACAAATAATATCTGTGCCTAATATACAATGTGGCAATGTTCATTATGAAGTTTTAATACAGAGAACTTTTTTTCAGAATTTTTAAGAGAATAAATTTTTCTTTTAAGAATACCTAAGCCTTATGAACATCTGATGTTCAAATACCCAGCAATGGCTGGTCGTCTTTTGCTTGCCTAAACTCCATCTGAACAATGGCAAAGCTCTGCTGAACCAACCAACATAAGGAATTGCACATCCCCACATTTCTTTCCATCTTTTTCTTTTCTGTCAGACTTTCACTCTTTTGCTGATAGTAAGTACCCTTAATCTATTAAAAGAAATACAAAAATCACTTCTGACTTGCCTATTCTGTTTCATTATATGCATATTTACATCACCACTGTATGACAAATTATTTCACCTCATAGACCCTGTTTTCTGATCTGTAAAAGTGGTTAATGGTACTTACCTAAAAGGTTGTAAAATTTTTTAAAATAAAGTCTGTAAAGCTTTCAGTGCAATGCCTTGTATTTGGCAAGTGCATTGTAAATGGGAGTATTATCTACATCAACATCTTCATCAAGATTACAGTATTGCTGTGACTCATTCCTGATTAAGGTCATGCATTACTTAACAAGGATATAGTCTGAAAAATTCATCATGAGGTGATTCCATCGTTGTGCAAACATCATACTGTGCACTTACACAAACAGAGATGGTATAGTCTACAACACATCTAGGCTATATATGGCATTGTCTATTGTTCCTAGGCTGCAAACCTGGACAGCCTATTATTGTACTGAATACTGTAAGCAGTTGTAACATAATGGTCAATATTTGTGTACCTAAATGTAGAAAAGGTACAGTAAAAGTAAACTATAGAAGATATAAAGTGGTACACTTAGGCCAGGCACAGTGGCTCATGCCTGTAATCCCAGCACTTTGGGAGGCAGAGGCAGGAGGATCTCTTGAGCCCAGGAGTTCAAGACCAGCCTGGGCAACATGATGAAACCCTGTCTGTACCAAAAAAAAAAAAAAAAAAAAAAAAAAAAATTAGCTGGGTGTGGTGGTGTGTGCCTGTGGTCCCAGCTACTTAGGAGGCTGAGGTGCAAGGATTGCTTGAGCCCAGGAGGTGGAGGCTACAGTGAGGTTTTTTCTTTTTCATTTTCTTTTCTTTTGTTTTTTTTTTTAAGACAGAGTCTCACTATGTTGTCCAGGCTGGAGTGCAGTGGCATGATCTTGGCTCACTGCAACCTCCGCCTCCCAAGTTCAAGCAGTTCTCATGCCTCAGCCTCTCGAGCAGCTTAGGACACAGGAGTGTGCCACCATGCCTGGCTAATTTTTGCATTTTTAATAGAGACAGAGTTTCACCATGTGGGCCAGACTGGTCTCAAACTCCTAGCCTCAAGTGATCTGCCTGCCTCAGCCTCCCTAATTGCTGGGATTACAGGTATGAGCCACTGCACACAGCCTATAAGCTTTCTTCTATTTAAAAATTTTTATTTATTTATTTTTTACTTTCAAACTTTTTTGTTTAAAAATGAAGACATAGCCAGGTGCTATGGTGCAAGCCTATAATCCCAGCTACTCAGAAGTCTGAGGTGGGAGGATTGTCCAAGGCCAGGAGTTCAAGGCTGCAGTGCAATATGATTGCACCTGTGAACAGCCACTGCACTCCAGCGTGGGCCAACATAGTGAGACCTAGTCTCAAAAAAACAACAAAAAACAAAAAGACATAAACACACATTACACATGAGACTAGGCCTACACAGGGCCAGGGTCTTCAATATCACTGTCTTTCACTTCCCTATCTTCTCCCATTGGAAGGTCTTCAGGAGCAGTAACATGCATGGAGCTGCCATCTCCTATGGTAACTATGCCTTATCTGGAACACCTCCTGAAGGACTGTTTTGCAGTTAACTTTTTTTTAAGTATAAAAAAGACACTCTAAAATAATAAGACAAGTATAATATAGCAAGTACATAAACCCATAACGCAGTCGTTTATTATCATTATCAAGTACCATGTACTGTACATATTGTATGTACTATACTTTTATAGGACTGGCAGCACAGTAGGTTCGTTTACACCAGCATCATCACAAATATGTAAGTAATGTGTTGTACAATGATCAGCTCTGACATATCTGGGCAATAAAAATTTTTCAGCTCCACTGTAATCTTAAGGAACTACCACTGTATATGAAGTTTGTCATTGACCAAAAGGTCATTATGTGGTGTGTGACTGTAATATAAAAATAGCTATTGTGATAAAATTATTTTAAGGGAGGGAGACAATGGGTTTGGAAGTAAAATTAGTCATTTTGTTAGTTTTTTATTGCTGCTGTAACAGATTATGACAAACTTAAACATTAAAATAACACAGATGGGCCAGGAACTGTGACTCTCACACTTATAAGCCCAGCACTTTGGGAGGCTGAGGCAGGAGGATTGCTTGAGCCCAGGAGTTGGAGACCAGGGTGGGCAACATAGTGAGACCCCATCTCTACAAAAAATAAAAAATAAAATTAGCCAGGTGTGGTGGCACATGTCTGTAGCTCCACCTACTCAGGAGGCTGAGGCAGGAGGATCATTTGAGCCTGGGAGGTTGAGGCTGTAGTGAGCCCAGACCATGCCACTGCACTCTAGCCTGAGCAACAGAGCAAGACCTGTCCCTAAAAAAATAAAAATAAAAAAAAACAACACAGATGTATTGTTGTATAGATCTGGAGATCAGAAGTTTCAAATGGGTTGGCAAGGCTGCTTTCCTTCTGGAGGCTCTAGGAGGAGAATCCATTTCCCTGTCTGTCTCAGCTTCTAGAGGCTGCCCACATTCCTTGGATCTAGCCCCCGCATCACTCTGACCTCTACTTCATCACATCACCTTCTCTCCCTTTGTCTCACATTTCCTTTTTTATAAAGATCCTTGTGATTACATTGGGGACATCAGATAACCCAGGATAATCTCCCAATTTCAAGATCCTTGACTTAATCACATTTGCAAATTCTCTTTTGCCATATAACGTAACAGTGATAGGTTCTGAGGATTTGCATATGGAAATAATGGAGGCCATTATTTAGTTTAACCCAGTCATTAAAAAAAAAATTGGGGCATTTAACCTTCTAGAAACTGAACTGAAATTTCTCCATAATCAATAGAAAACTTTCTATTTTCTCAACACTAGTGAAACCTGCTTTTCTTTGGTGACACCAGTTGATAAAACTATTTTTGATTCAATATGTTGCTTTCCCCTTTGGTTATCAGTAGTTTAATTGAATTATTGACTACAGTTTTATGGCAAATGTGAATTCTGGGTTGAACAAACTAAATTGAGATGCAAATACCAATTTGTAACATTGATCCTGTGGGTGAATAATTTCATAGTCCCAACAAATGTACTTATGTTTACCAACTTGCAATACAAGGTCTTTTTAAAAGTAATTAATTTATTTTTATTTTTATTTTTTTAAAGACAGGGTCTCATTCTGTCTTGCAGGCTGTTGTACAGTGGCCTGATTATAGCTCACTGTAGCCTCGAAATTCTGGGCCGAAATGATCCGCCTGCCTCAGCCTCCAAAGTAGCTGAGACTACAGGTATGTGTCACCACACCCAGCTAAATTTTATATATTTTTTCTAGAGACAAGGGTATGTAGCCCAGGTATTTGACCCTCCAAATCTGATGTTGAAATTGGATACCCAGTGTTGGAGGTGGGGCCTAATGGAAGGTATTTGGCTCATGGGGCAGATCCCTCATGAATAGATTAATATTCTCCCTGGGTTGCAGGTGAGTGAGTTTTTGGTCTCTTAGTTCCTGTGAGAGCTAGGTTTTATGGGATTTTTTTTTTTTTTTAGGCTGGTCTTGAACTCTTGGGCTGAAGAGATTCTCCCACCTCAGCCTCCCAAGGTGTTGAGATTACAAGCATGAGCCACCTCACCTGGCCAAGAGCTAGTTGTTAAAAGAGCCTAGCACTACCCCCCTCTTTCTTGTTTCCTCTCTCACCATGTGATCTCCACACACATTGGCTTGCCTTCCCTTTCTGACATGAGCGGAAGCAGCCTGAGGCCCTCACCAGATGTGGATGCCAGTGCCATGCTTCTTGTACAATCTGCAGAATCATAAGCTAAATACACCTCTTTTCTTTATAAATTACCCAGCCTTGGGTATTCCTTTATAGCAACACAAACGGAGAAAGACATATGCAATTTGCCATTTTAATCATTTTTAACTGTACAATTTGGTGGTATTAATTATATTTACAATGTTGTGCAACCGTTACCACCATCTATTACCAAAGCCCTTTCATCACCCCAAATAGAAACTGTGCTTATTCAGCAAAAACTCCCATTTTCCTCTCCTTCCAGCCCCTGGTAACCTCTGGTAACCTCTAATCTACCTCCTGTCTCTATGAATTTGCCTATTGTAAATATTTCACATAATGGTATCATACACTATCCTTTTGTGTCTAGCTTATTTAACTTAGCATAATGTTTTCAAGGTTCATCCATCTTATAGCATGTATCAGTATTCCATTCTTCTTTTCTATGGCTGAATAATAATTGTATGTATATACTGCATCTTGTTTATCCATTTATCTTTTTGTTTGTTTGTTTTTTAAAGACAGGGTTTTACCATGTTGGCCAAGCTAGTCTCGAACTCCTGAACTCAGGTGATCCGCCCACCTTGGCCTCACAAAGTACTGGGATTACAGGCGTGAGCCATCGTGCCTGGCCTATCCGTTTATCTTTTGATAGACATTTTGGTTGTTTCTACCTTTTGTCTATTGTGAATAATGCTGCTATGAACATTAGTGTACAAGTCACTGTTTAAGTTGTTGTTTTCAATTCTTTTGGGTATTGTATTAGGCCATTCTTGCATTGATATAAAGAAATACCTGAGACTGGGTAAGTGCCAAAGAAAAAAGGGTTTAGTTGGCTCACATTTCTGCAGTCTGTACAGGAAGCATAGCAGCATCTGCTTCCAGGGAGGCTTCAGGAAGCTTCCAATCATGATGGAAGGCAAAGTGGGTGCAGGTATGTCACGTGGCAAAAGCCAGAGCAAGAGAGGAAGTGGGGAGGTGCTGCACACTTTTAAACAATCAAATCTTGTGAGAACTCACAATCTTGATGACAGCTAGAGATGGTGAAGCCACTCATGAGAAACCACTCCCATGATCCAATCACCTCCCACCAGGCCCCAACTCTAACACCGGAGATTAATTACATTTCAACATGAGATTTGCATAGGAACAAACAGTCAAACTATATCCGGTATATACTTAAGAGTAGAATTACTGGGTGATAATTCTGTTTTACGTTTTGAGGAATTGCCAAACTATCTTCCTCAGCAGTTAAACCATTTACATTCCCACCAGCAGTATACTAGGTTTCCAATTTCTCCACATGTTCAACAACACTAGTTATTTTTTCTTCTAATTATAGCCATTCTAGTAGGTACAAAGTGGTATCTCATTGTGGTTTTAGCATCTTTTGAGTTGCTTATTGACCATTTACATGTCTTTTTTTTAGAGAAGTGTCTAAGTATTTTGTCCATTAAAAAATTGAGTTATTTATCTTTTATTTGTTGAGTTGTAGGATTCTTTATGCATTCAATTCTTTTGGGTATTGTATTAGGCCATTCTTGCATTGCCATAAAGAAATGCCTGAGTATATTAGTTTTTTGTCAGATGTATGATTTGCAAACATTTTCTCCAATTTTTTGTGTTATCTTTTCACTTTCTTTATAGTGTCACTTGATACACAATTTTGATGAAGTCCAATTTATCAGTTGTTTCATCACTTGTACTTTTGATGTTATATTTAAGAAACCGTTGTCAAACCCAAGGTCATGAAGATTTTTCAGTATGTTTTCCTCTAAGAGTTTTATAGCATTTAATATTTAAGTGTTTTATAGCATTAAATTTTGGTCTTTGATCCATTTTCAGTTAATGTTTGTACATTGTGTAAAAGTATAGGTCCAACTTCATTCTTTTGCTTGTGGATATCTAGTTTCCCCAACACCATTTGTTGAAGAGATTGTCCTTTTCCCCATTGAGTGATCCTGGAACCCTTGCTGAAAATTAATTACCCATAGATGTGAGTGTTAGTTCTGGCCTCTCGATTCTATTCCATTGGTCTATATTGTCTACCTCTGTGCCAAGTCCATGCTATTTCAATTATTATAGCTATGTAGTAAATTTTAATATCAGAAAATGTGAGTCCTACAACTTTGTTCCTCTTCAGATTATTTTGGCTATTTTGGGTTCCTTGAAATTTTATATGAATTTTAGAATAGGTTTTTCCATTTCTGCCAAAAGCGCTGTTGGGATTTTATTAGCGTGATTACATTGACTCTACATATCATTTTGAGTAGCGTTGTCATTTTAACAATATTAAGTCTTCCAACTTATGAACACAGGATCTCTTTCCATTTATTTAAGTCTACTTTAATTTCTTTCCAGAATGCTTTGTAGTTTTCAGTGTACAAGTCTTCTGCCTTCCTGGTTAAATTGATTTCTAAATATTTTATTCTTTTGGGTACTACTGTAAATAAAAAATTCTTAATTTCCTTTTCAGATTTTGTACTGCTAGTGTGTAGAAACACGACTGATTTTTGTGTGTTGATTTTGTATTCTGCAGCCTTGCTAAATTTGTTTATTAGCTTTAAGAGGCTATTTTTGGTATTCTTTAGGGCTTTCTACACTTATATCACTTGCAAATAGAGATAGTTTTACTTCTTCCTTTCTAATTTGGATTTATTTTATTTCTTTTTCTTGCCTGATGGGTCTGGCTAGAACTGCCAATACTATGTTGAATAGAAGTGGCAAACACAGGCATCCATGGCTTCTGATTTTAGTGGAAAAGCTTGAAATTTTTCCCCATTGAGAATGATGTCAGTCGTGAGTTTTTAATACATGGTCTTTATCATGTTGAGACAGTTCCTTTCTATTCCTGGTTTGTTGAACAGTTCTATCATAAAGGAGGAATGGATTTTCTCAAATGTTCTTCTATATCAATTGAGATGATCATGAGTTTTTCACTCCTTCATTCTATTACTTGGTGTATTACATCGACTGATTTTCATACGTTAAACCACTCTTAAATTTCTGGGATAAATCTCAGTTGGTCATAGTGTAAAATTCTTTTAAGGGCTGCTGAATTTAATTTCCTAGTATTTTGTTGGGGATTTTTGTATCTATAATGCATTCATAGGGGACATTTGGCTATAGTTTTCTTGTATTGTCTGTCTAGCTTTGGTATCAGGGTAATGTTGGCTTCATAGAATGACTCAGAAAGGGTTCTGTTTCTCAACTTTTTGGAGGAGTTCGAGAAGGATTAGTGTTAATTCATTTCTAAACGTTTGGTAGAATTCACCAGCGAAGTCATCAGTTCCTGGGCTTTTCTTTGTTAGGAGAGTTTTGGTTGCTGATTCAATCAGAATTGAATATCATTACTTTTTATAGATCTATTCAGATTTATTCTTTGTTCTTGAGTCAACTTTGTTGGTTTGTATGTTTCTAGGAATTTGTCTGTTTCATCTAGGTTATCCAATTTTTTGACATATAGCTCTTATACGAATTCTCTTACAATCCTTTTTATTCCTATAAATCAGTAGTAGTGTCTTTCATTTCTGATTTTAGTAGTTGAGTATTCTTTTTCCTTAATCTAGTTAAAGCTTTGTCAACTTTGTTGATCTCTTCAAAGAACTAATTTTTTGTTTCATTGATTCTATTGTTTTTCTATTCTCTATTTCATTTATTTTTGCTCTAATCCTTATTATTTCCTTCCTCTTTATGGCTTCAAACTCAATTGAACATAAAGTATTAAGAAATTTGACTTTTTTTCTCAAATGTCTAAAATGTAAGAAGAAATATGTCTAGAGTCATCAAAAAGCAGCCTGTTTGTCAGATTTACTGTTTAATCCATGTAAACAGCTTTCATATAATTCATGATAGAATATTACTATGTGCTTTGGAAGACACTGAGGAAAGACAAAAGGTCATTGGGCAGAACCACCCTAGATTGACTGTTAAGGCCATCTTCTAGTTTGCAGGACTTGTGGTAGACAGACAGAATAATATCCTGGACCTCTTGGGTGTATACAGGACAAACTGAAATAAACTCTCATTTTTAGATCATAATGTCATCATGAAACATATCAATTCGGTCTATTTCTGAAGAAAACAAGCACAATGATAAAGTTTGAATGTTTGTCTCCTCCAAATCTCATGCTGACATTTGATCCCCAATGTTGGAGGTGGGGCGCACTGGGAGGTGTTTTGGTTACGGGGGCAGATCCCTCATGAATGGCTTGGTGCTGTCTTCATGGGATTATGTTCTCACTCCTACTTCCTGTGAGATCTTATTGTTAAAAAGAATCTGATACCTTCCTCCCCTCTCTTGCTCTCTTCCTCCCTGATCATGTGACACACGGGTTCCCCTTTGCCTTCCACCACGATGGAGGCTTCCTGAGGCCCTCAACAGAAGCAGATGCTGGTGCCATGCTTCTCGTACAGCCTGCAGAATTGTGTGAGCCAAATAAACCTCTTTTCCTTATATATTACCCAGCCTCAGGTATTTGTTTATAGCAATAAAAACAGACTGAGACACATGATGAAGACCCTTTGATATCCTATAAATATTGATTTCTCTCCCTGAGAGAAGAGCATGAATCTAAGTGATGCCATTACTGTAATGTGAATTCCACAACTTTTCTCAAAGATGTGGCCCATATGTTTCTAATAATGGCTTTCTAAGAATCTGTTCTGAAGGGGTACCTTCTCTCTGATTTTCATTTGCATTTCCTGCTTAGCTTACACACTTCAACTTGCCTATCCACCTGTCCTGACCCCAATAACCTCCATCATCAGACATCTCATCTTACCTACCTACTTTCTACTTTTCCCAGTCCTTCCCGTGCTTCATAAACCATGATCATGAGCTAGAGACACAAGGTCATAGCTAAGGAGTTGGGATCAGAAAATCACCTTCTGTGATTTTCCATTATTCTCAATACGTAACTTCAACAAAATCAAGAAAATCATGAAAGGACATCCTAAGGGGTCAGGTGAGGTTGCAGTGGGGTTAGTCGGTCAATAGTTTCTTTATGCCAATTAGGATTTCTGCAGAAAACAATGAAACACTGGTTTAAACAGTAAAAATATTTTAATTCCTTACAGAAGCCCATGGAACATACACTCCAGGTTTAATTCATCAGCTCAATAGCATCATCAACGACTTAGGTTCTTTCCACTTTCTGCTTGTCATCTGTGTTGGCTTTATTTTCAAGCTAGCTCCTCCCTGGTTGCAAGATAATTGCAGCAGGTTTAGTTATCATATTCGGACATGCTAACGCCCAGGCTAGTGATCCCTTCCTTACATTTCTTTCTCATTTTAAGAACAAAGTGTTTAAAAAATTATACTTAAAATTATTGGCATCTCTGTCAATTGAAAGATGTCAATCTCTTTCATTTTTCCTAATCACTAATAACATCTACTAAAAACAAAATGTCTGTGTAAATAATTTATTTGAATAAAATTAAAGTTGTTGAGTGAGCTCGGCTTTTGAGGAGTGGGAAAGGAGGGGTGCATAGATTAGTGGAAGATGAGAAGCTAGTGGGGCTCAAGTCCAGCAGGAGCAGGAGTTTGGAGCCAGGACTTCCTAGCCTCTCAGGGTTTTTTTTTAACTTCCTTACCTGAAATGATTTGTGCTATATAACTTGTCCTGGCTAAACTTTCTTAATCTCAACTGTTTCATTTAATCAATAACAACTACTGCGCCACCTTCATAATATCAATTTTCAGCATTTCATTTACTGAATATCATTTCCTTTCCTTCCAGACTATTCTACTGTGTCAAATTCAATATTCCTTTGACTCAATAGGATCTCCAATCCAGTGACCCCATTATTTGTTTGTTTATTAGGACAAGAAAAACAAACTTTCCCAGAAACTCCCCAGTAGACTGCTCCTCATATCTCGTTGGCTAGAACTGAGTTGCGTGCCCATTCCTAAAACAAAACTGGCAAGAAAGATAGTTACCAAGATTGGTTCAGACCAAATCAGGATTTTTTCCTGAGGAGAGGATAAAGTGAGCTTCCCGGGAGGCAAATATTTACACATTCCAAAGATTCCAAAGAAAAAAAGAGAATAAATACTGGGTCGTTAACTAATAGTAAGTGGTACGGTATTACAGGTAAAATTTATCCTTTTAGCCCTAGCAACAAGTGACACCTTCTGAAGCCATTATTCATTTGTCAGGAATAGGGCAAGTATCAGGAAAAGAAACACCGAAATAAACTCTGTTTCCATTTATTGCATTCTAGCACTGGTTCTACCAAATATTTGTTGGATGACTTTAGGTAAAGCATCTAGCCTCTCTGTCTTGATTGCCACACCCACAATATGAGATAAATATTATTCTGCATACTTCCTGGGAGAGCTGGGAAGATAAAATCAGATCATTATACCACATAAAGCAAAGCAATAACACTTCCATATTTTAGCTTCCCACACTGCCTATCTGTCCTATTTTCATTTATTCATTTATACTTTTTAACAAACAGTTGCTAGTAGTTTGCTTAATGTAAGATATGGGATGAATATTTTCATGATGGCCCCTGCATCTAAGTTATCATTTAGCAGTACCTGCCTTATCTCTTGTACAGAATCAGATTAGACAGCATAGGAAGAATGAAAAGGTGAGGTGGGATAATAAGGAATGTTGTTTGTGGAAACATAATGGTTGCTTCAATTTGAGTGTAAACTGTCCTTTTTACTGAAGCAATTGCAACCAAGTGTGTGAGTTCACAGGTGCCTACATTGCTTTTTTGGCTTAGGTATTGTTTGGGTTTTAATACAGACAAATCAACTCAATCAAAGAAACCAACTCAAAGAAAGATGGGTCTACATACAACAAAACTGAACAAAATCTGCAAGAAGAGTGATTCATACATGGGCTATTGAGGCAACATGAGATGGACATTAATCGACTAAGTAAAAAACAGATTTCTTGAAGAATTAATAAAGAACTTTTGTTTTGGAAGTTCTCTATTGTTTAAAATTAGCCAGATGTGGTGGCCTGCACCTACAGTCCCAGCTACTCAGGAGGCTGAGGTGGAAGGATCACTTGAGCCCAAGAGGCGGAGGTTGCAGTGAGCTGAGACTGTGCCGCTGCACTACAGACAGCCTCCTGCATGACAGAGCCAGACCCTGTCTCAAAATTTGGGGGGGAGTAAAGTTCTCTATTGTTTGAAATAATAACGAAACATTAAAGGCTCTAAAGTCAGCTAACGAATAGTCCTAAAAATAGAATGGCTCAAAAAGATTGTCCAATTTTGGAAAACTAACATTTCAAAAAGTTGTTTCATTTTTTATGAATCCTAAGATTTCCATATCCTAGAAAACTAACATCTCAGAAAAAAAAAAAGATGGTAAAACACAATTGCCATCATCTATGCCTGTTCTGGAAAAATACAGAGAAGAAGAGAGTGTTTGGTTTTTTTAACCAGGATTTGGAAAGCCATTATTTATCTCTGTGATAGAATAACAATATGTTTTGGATGGAGGGTAATTCTAGGGGAAATTATATTTCTGAAGAACAATGTTGGTTTGTGCAGGAAAATCACCAAAGAACATGACTAGAAAGTGTATAGCTACAGTTTCCCTCTTTTAAATGGGAATAGCAAAACATATAAAGAATATTGATAGGCCGGGTGCGGTGGCTCACGCCTGTAATCCCAGCACTTTGGGAGGCCCAGGCGGGCGGATCAAGAGGTCAGGAGATCGAGACCATCATGGCTAACACGGTGAAACCCCGTCTCTACTAAAAAATACAAAAAATTATCCGGGCGTGGTGGTGGGCGCCTGTAGTCCCAGCTACTCGGGAGGCTGAGACAGGAAAATGGCGTGAATCCGGGAGGTGGAGCTTGCAGTGAGCCGAGATCGCGCCACTGCACTCCAGCCTGGGTGACAGAGCGAGAGACTCTGCCTAAAAAAAAAAAAAAAAAAAAAAAAAGAGTATTGATATTTTAAACCTACTACAATTTTGCATCTAGTTTCTCAAGTAGTTCTGTGGATTTAGAACCAAAATTTGCTGGGGGGAAAGAATTACCAGCATCAAAGTCCTAGGATGTGTCAGGGCACCAGAAGAGAAGTTTTGTCACTGTAAAATAACTCTCTTGGCAGAACATGATGGAGACTGTAAACAGCAGGTTACTTCAATGGTTATGTGCGGTTCAGTGAAGTTCTCTACATTAACTGAAGCACAACTCACTGCGTCCCAGGCTCTCCTGGTTCACGTGTGATACACTGCACTTGGGGTGGAGGTGTGCTGACAGTTGTAAAGGGCTGAGCCTTTCTTTCCCGTGGCTCTGATGCACGGTTTCCAGATACCAGTCATGAAGGAAGTTCTTGAGATTATGGACTTTGTCCTAGTCACATAGGGCTGCTAGGACAAAGTGCCATAGACTTGGGGGTGGTGGCACATATTAAAAAAAGAAATGTATTTGTCACAGTCTGGAGGCTGGAAGTCCGAGGTTAGCATCCCAGTGGGCAAGGTTCTGGTGAGGGCTCTCTCTCTGGCTTGCAGATGGCCGCCTTCTCACTGTGTCCTTGTGTCAGGGAGAGAGAGAGCTCTGGGGTCTCTGCTTCTTACCAGGGCCCTAATCCCATCATTAGGGCCCCACCCTCATGGTCTCTTCTAACCCTGAATAACTCCCAAAGGCCCCATTTCCAAATACCATCACGTTGGGGGTTAGGGCTTCAGCACAGGAACTGGGCGGGGGACGTATGTTCAGTCTACCAGAGCCCCCCAGTCAGCCCCACTGTGCCCATTTAGGGGCAGATTGTAGGGCTCAGGTGGGACACAGAGGTGGAGGAAGCACAAGTTCTGCTTCCTAGGAATGGCTCAGCCAAGACAAGGACAGGGACAGTAGGATAGACAACAGCCAGTGGGGTAACCAGTAGGAGCCCCAAGGTGTCACTTTCACCCTTAGGTGAGGAAGTTGGCTGGGCACCCACACACGCCAGAGTATGGACCATGTTCCCTTCAAACACGGCTCACTTAACATTCCTAAACCCTGCAAAGGGGCAGTGCTACCTTATCTCCTGAGGATGGCCGTGAATGTAGAGGAGTCACGGGAGCTGCCCACATCACCCACCAGTGACTCTTCGCTCCCCACATTTTCCCCGAGGGCCTGACGTGCACTGAGCTGGGGAAGCCCTGCCAAGATAAACTCTCCTTCCCAAAGGCCACAGAAGACAGCAGGCCTCCGACACTGCCCACATCGAGCAGAAGGGACGGGGCAGAGGGGCATCTGTCAGGCTGACTGCTGTGTTCTGTGGGCAGATGGGGCCAGAGAGGACCCAAACATGGCTCCCTTTGTCACTTGGCCGAGGGGCCAGGCCACCGTGTACCAGACAGCTTTGCCCCACCAGCCTCTGCTGCTGGGCCAGCCCCCAGGGCCGTGACCACAGCTCTGCACGCAGGCAGTGCTGGGACCAGTGCCCTGGCAGTCACAGGGGTCCTGAGCCAATAAGCGCCCTGGGGGAGGAATCAGAACTCAGACCGTGGAGAAGAAGGTGTTGGCCAGGAGGGAACCAGGGTGGGTGCCGGGTCCTGTCCACGCTGGGATCTGAGATTCTAAGAGGTGGGTTAGGGGTAAGGGGGGCAGAGTTGGCCCATGGGGTGAGGGCAGTTCAGCAGAGATTGGGAAGACAGGACAACCTGGGAAAGAGCAGAGCATCCTCCCCAGCCTCGGTCCCTCTCCTGATGCAGTCCTCATCTCACTCATAGACTCTGGAAGTCTCTCTTTGGCGAACACCTAGCCCCCAACTCCCAGGGCACTTCCCAGACAGCCAATGCCACATCCCAGGCAGCCCCTGCTCTGCCCTTGGGGTCTGTGCCTGGCAGAAGGGCGGCAGACCCTCGGCCCCTCTTGGCCTGGGCCCCAGCTCCTCCGGGCCCTGGAACCAGCAGAAACACCCACCCTGCGCCTGATGGACTGGACATGCTTGTTCCCATTGGTGATGGTGTGTTGGGAGGGAACTGTTTTAGAAACCAATGTAAATCTGTGTCTACATCAATTCCACATGAGTTCAGTCATCATATGGGAAGGGAATCATAGCTGTGGGGGGCTCCATGCAGGACCTTGAGGGCCCCGAGGCCAGTCCCTGTGGCCACAGCAAGGAGCATCTGCTTTAGCTAGTTGGACAAGACTCTCTCCTGCCCAGAAACAGGCAGAAGGACTTCCCCTGCTCCCCACCCATCATCGTATCCCAAACACACCTGTGTGGATGGTCACCTCAACGTCTCCCCTCAGCCCAGTGCCCGCGCTCTTCCTGATGAGGGTTAAGCAGGAGCAGCCTCCTCTCCCCATGTCCATGTTGCAGGCGGCTGCCTTCTCCTCAGCTCCCACCGAGCAGAACAAGAGCCAGCCAGCTCTCTCCAATCCCAGGATTTTCCAGGGATGCTGATAACGATGGGGGGGCCCCAAGAAGCCTCCCTAAAGCAGGCAGGGCCTTGTGAGTGGGTGGTGGGAGGGATCAGGGCTTCCTCAGCATCTGTCAGTCCCTGGAGCATCTGAAGGGGCTCCCTACGTCAGGAGGAAAGAGTGGGGCCGGCCCCTGTGGGTTCCCAGAGCCTGGCATCTGCCGGTTCCTCTGCCCTCCCTCACAGACACCCTCCACAGAGCAGCACAGCACCGAGGACAGAGGCAGCAGCCCCAAGAGCATTTTCCAAGACAACTACATTTATTCACACTTACACACGAGGCCCCCAACGCACTGCTTCCCACCCCCACTCCCCAGCCCCTTCCCCCCAGACCCTCCCTTCCTGCCCTCCCCATTCAGCCACCCTCTCCCTCCCCTCCCTCCCCTACCCTCCAAAGCTAAGGCCCAGCAAGATCAGCACTGGGGGAGAAGAAGCTTTTGACCGCTTTGGGGCATCGGATGCCAGAGCCCCATCCTTGGGGATCGGCCCCAGAGAGCCTGCTCAGAAGCCCCTACTGGCTACAACGCTGCTTCTTCTCCTTCCTGGAGACCAAGGGGTCACCCTTTCTCTTTTGAGACTGTGAGGGGCCACCCAGCCCCCAAGTCAGGGATTGCTCCCCAGAGACCCTGAGCCCAGGCCCTGGGTGGGGTGTCTTTTCAGCAGGGGACAGGCTTCCAAAGAGAGGTCGCTTCTTGGCCTTGTTGGCAGGAGAAGGTGCTAGGTTGAGGCCTCTTCTCTCAGCAGATGGGAACTGATGAGTTCCCTGGGGTCCCCACTTTTCTGGGCTGAGAAGGCCCGAGGCAGGGACAGGGCTCTGGGGTAGCCACCAGGGCAGAAGCTTGTGCTGGGAACCCAAGAGGAAGGCCAGGCTGGGGAGTTCCTCCTCCTCACTTGACCCCTGAGCCAGCCCATGTGACTCCCTGACAGGAGACCCTCCAGGGAGATCCAAGGCATCCTTGGTACCCACGCCAGGGCAGGTGGGTCTGTGGTCCTGGGGAGGAGAGGTTGGCCGGGCAGCCCTCAGCCCAGGGGAATCCTGACATCCCAAAAGCACAACAGAGTCTTTGGACCTGGCCATGCCAGTGTGTGCTCTGCCTCGTCCCTGAGAGTCCCGGGCAGTCGTCTGGGGTGGGCAGGTTTCCATGCCAACCCCTTGTTGGGGGACAGGGACGTCTCTCTCTGCTCCTTGGCCAGCTGCAAACTTAGAAGAACTTGAGTCCAACCGGGCTGTGCCACGACTAGGGGCTGCCCTCGCATGCTGTTTCTCCTTCAAGGGTAGGAGGCGCTTCTCCACTAGCTGCGGGAGGAAAGGGGGCACTTACGGGCACTGCCCCAGGTGTGAGCGGGGCCCAGGGTGGTGGAGACCAGGGCACTTAGGCGGCAGGTAGGGAAGCCTGAGGCAGCTGGGCTTTATGTCAAAGAGAGAGGGTGTGGCTCTGCCGGGCCTCCCGTTGGGCCTCACCACAGCTTGCATGCTGACTCCCCTCCCTGGCTCCTGTCCATCCTACTCCCTCTGAACCTGCATCTTCCCACTCCAGAGTGGCTCCCCAAGAAGCCGAGCATCCCCAGCAGGGGGGATTAGACAATCAGGTGGGCCTTGTGTGCCAGGTCCCTCCTGCCCCTGGGGTACCTGGGCAAGGGTGAGTCCTTCCTCCTGCTCCAGCTCCTGGCTTAGGGCCAAGAAATCCATCTGTGGATCTGGGGAAAGCAATTCTTCCAGGAATTGGGGATGAATGACGGCCTCCACCTGGAAACAGAAGGAAGAAGGCGTGAGCTTCCTGGGCAGGGAGTAACCTGGAGCCAAGGACACCTGGAGGAGATGCAGAAAGCAGCGAGCGCCCCGTCCCCACCCTCCTGGGGCTGTCTCATATCATGGTGACCACCAGCTACAGACACAGACCACAGACCTGGTAGCTACACACACACAGACAGAGACACACAAACCACACACAGACACACAAACAGACCCACATATGACACAGGAAAAGACACAGACACAGGTAACGTACACACTCCACACTCACACCCACACAGACACACAAAGACACACAGTAACAAACCACAGACACAAACACACAGCAACACACAGACACACACACAATCACATACACAGATACTCAAATCCATGGAAATACACACACTGCTGAGTAGCTAAGGAACAGAGCTTAATTCCAAGGACCTGGGAGTGCCACCCCCTGGAATCCAGCAGACCCCAGCACTCCAGGCCAGCCCACCTTGGTGACGAAGTCTTTCTGGGAACACAGCTTGTCAGTGTAGCTCAGGAGGCCCGGGTCTGGGGGCGTCCAGTCCTCTTCCTGTGGCTGCTTCACTTCGCCCTCTTCCCGTTGTTTCTCGGGCTCCCCCGTGGCCCCGAGGGAAGGCCCCAGCAGCTCCTCCATGATGTCCACATACTCCTGCACCACTTCTGGGGGGATCTCCTCAGGGACCTTGGTCTCTGCTGGTCTCTGGGGCCTGGGTGGTGGCAGGCGGGCCTTGGTCTCTGCTCGCCGGTGGGGCCGGGGTGGTGGCCGGCGGGCCTTGGTCACTGGCCTCTGGGGCCTGGGTGGTGGCAGGCAGGCAGTCGGGGCCTTGGGGCCGGCCTTGCTGGGAAGGTACACTGAGGCAGAGAGGGAGGAGGACGGGCGTGGTGAGGGCCGCTCCTCCTGCTGGCACCACACAGGGGAGGGCAGGGCTTGGGGATGTGAAGTGGGTCCCAGCTGGGTCAGGACCACCTGAACCGCAGCGCCCCCGGAGGAGGCAGGAGGGGCACATCTGAGACAGCATCGCTTGGGAGGAAGTTTGGAGCCACCAATATGCCGTGTACTCTCCCCGCTCATCCCTGCTTCCTGGGCAGAGCATATGTGGAGTTTTGGACAGGCGAGGGGAGAGAGTAGCTAGGAAACTTGACCAGGTCAATACCGAACATATGCTCCTGGAAACTGTCCTGTTGGAGGGAGCAAATCCCCCTCTCGAAGGGAAGCATGGGGTGTGGGGACAGTGGCCTCCCTTGGCCCCTTTGGCCTTTGCCATGGCTCCTGTGGGAATGTGGGAAGCCATACCTGGCTGCTTGACCACCTCAGGGGCCGGGGGTCCTCGAGGTTCAAGCCTCGGTGTGGCTGGAGGAGGCAGGCACTGGGGCCCCTTCATCCATTGCGATTTCTGAATCTGCATCTCCTCCTCAGCCTCAAACTCCAGGAACCTGGCGGTGAAGGAGGCCCAGGCTGTGCTGAGAGGGTCCAGGCCCCCTCCCCCCAGGACCAGGCAGCGGCCGAGGGCAGGGATGGGAGGGAGTGCCTCGGGTGGGCTGTCCAGGCCCTCACTGTGTCCCATCCCCCAGTCCCAGGAGAAAGCTGCTCCCAGAGTTCTGGGCTCACCCTCCCTCACCCGGCCCCTGCAGAGCCCATGGCATCAACGGGGCTTCCTGACTCAACTCAGGGCCACGAGGTCCAGGAGGGTCTCGGGGGACCCCTCCTCCAGGTTTCAGCTGGCCAGGGGTGGGATTTATGGCAGAAGGCATCAGGGATGATGCCCAGATGCAGGAGTCCTGAGGCTAGGACTGTGGGCCCCTGAAAGATAACCCAGGGGCACGAGGCCTGGGAGACCCCTGGTCAGGAGGAAGCAAAAGCTGAGCTCAGAGGACAGGGCCCCTTTCCCCTGAGGCTGCTGTCTATCTGTCTGCCTTCATGGAGGGGACTGCCCAGGAGCAAAGGCAGTCAGGCCAGAGATGGGTCCCATGGTGTCCCAGGTGCAGGTCTCCCCAACCCAACTCCCTGGCCAGGCTGGGATGGGAGAAAACCGACTTCTGGCCACTGCTGTGAGGAGCCTGCACCCTACTCTTGTCCATAGTCACTAGCGCCCCTTCTCCCCATCCCCACAGCTGGAGGTGACCCACTTTGGTCTGTGATGCTGGCTGCTCCTGCCATGACCTCCAGTGTCAAGGCAGGGATGGCCCCAGGCCAGGCAGGGGGTGCTTCCCAATAGGCCAGGACAGAGACCCCAGAACACTCTAGGTGGCAGGAGCAGCTTCCTGAGGGAGCCAGGGGCCCAGAGTGTCCTGGGTTTCTCCACACCCTCCTCATACTCCACGTTGAGAAGCCACCATGGCCACCGGGCCTCTGTCATTCACTCTCACCCTGCCACGCGGGCCCCGCTCCCAGGACCCCAGACTCACTTTTCCGCCATCTCGTAGAAGATCATCCGGTCAAAGTTGCTCGTGTGCTGCCATTCCCGCATGGCCCGCCACAGTCCCTCCTCCAGGGTCATGGTGGGCTTCCGCCGGGCCAGGGATCGGAGAACTGGGCTGTAAACCAGTGCAGTCAGTCTCAGTCTATAAGCCCACCCTTCATCCCAAGCCCACCTGGTCCCAACACCTGGCCCCTGTCCTCCCCACACCTGTCCTGCCATCTGTCCCTGTCCTGTTCTCCCCCATGTGGGCTCCTCAGGCCCCAGGACACACCCCCAAGATCAAACATCAACACAAGCTACCAAGTGGCCTCTCCGACTGCCCCTCGAGTCCTCAGTGTTGAGAAGTGGACTCAGTACTATGGGTGGAACATGTGTGTCTCCAACATTCCTGTGCTGAAGTCCTCAGCACCAATGTGTCAGTATTTGGAGGCAATCAGGGTTAAAGCAGGTCATGAGCGTGGGTCCCAGTCATGGAATCCAAGCCCTGATAAGGGCAGAAGGAGACGCCAGGGCTCTTGCTCTCAGCCACGAGGAGACATAGCCAGAGACAGCTCTCTCCAGCCAGGAGGAGGGCCCTGACCAGACACCCGATCTGCTGTCACCTTGATCTGGGACTTCTGGCCTCTGGAACTGGGAGACATGAATGTGTCTTGATAAAGCACCCAGTCTACGGCATTCGTTACGGCAGAGCCTGAGCTGACTGAGACAGCGTGCACACAGAATGACCTGGGGGTGAGGGTTAAAGTGCAGGTTCCAGGGCCCCAAGACTGAGCATTTAACCGGCTTCCTGGGGACTCTGGAGCAAGGCAGCCCCTGGGGACGTAGCCTCAGGGCCCTGGAGCATGAGGAGCAGGAGCACACGTCCAGAACCAAAGCAGAGCGGTGTCCACGCCACTGCAAGCAGCAGGTCCAGATCCCACATTCCCACAGGAGCCATGGCAAAGGCCTGTGAGCCTGGGGCAGCTCCACCCCAAGAATCAGGGTCCCCAGTGCACCGGGACTCCGCTCCAAGGAGGAATGCAACCAGTTCCAGGGTGCGGGAACAGCGAGATTTTGGGGGATGAAAATGGGGCCACCTTCCACCTACACCCCAGGCAGGGGACTTCCCTAGGGGAACGGCCAGTGTGTTGCACGGTGGATGTGCTCAAGCTCCCGTTTGCTCATCAGCGGGAAACACAGGGTCACAGAGGCACCGCAGGGTGGAGAGAGGCAGGGACTGGGAATGAAACCACAAACTCTCCCAGATGCTGACGTTGCTGCCTCACAGTCACCACAGTCCATGGCCCTGGGCTGCTGGACTCATGGTGCACTCAGAGCTATCACTGGAGCCCGTGGCTTTGGGGAGTGCTCTCCTAGATGGCCTAGTCTTGATAATGATAGTAATGGGGACAGTAATCATAACTGCTGTCATGTAATGTGTCATAGCATGTGCCAGGCACTGTGCTATGCATGTCATATGTGAGCTCAAGTTATCTCTTCACCATCCTCTGAATGAAGCATCATTGTCCCTTTTTCTAGGAGGGATTGAGGGTGAAGATGCAAATACCTGCTCGGCATCGGCCCCAGTGCAGGGCCCAAGACCATCCCCCTGTGCAGGCTCCACCACCGCTGTGCTAACTGGACCTCAGCGGAACTGCGGGCATGTGTCAGGTTCCTGCTGGGTCCTGCAGCTCCTCCCCCCGGCCCCATGTGAGGTGCTCCTGGCCATCAATACTGGGTTAAAGGGGAGGCACTGGGGCGTGTACTCAAAGACCTAAACCCAAACCGTAGCTCACGTCACACCAGGAACCCTCTCTGACCTGGGTCTTCTGTAAACATTGTTGTGAAAATTATTGAAAGTAAGGATTGGCTGGACTCACGGGACAGTGACGGGCAGTTGAGATGAGGCCCCTGACAGTCTGTCCTGAGCCGCAGCCAGATTAATATGGTCAAAAATATACCTTCCCATAGTGCAGCCCATCACCCTCACAACCGCCCTGCAAGCTCCCCTGAACAGCGTGACCTCCCGTCCATCCAGCAGCCTCTTTACGTGTGAGCTGCAGGACCAGCTCCAATGCCCCGAGGACACTCACATGAGGAAGCACGAAAGCGCTTCGGTGTCAGGACTCTGGGGAAGGTGCCTCCGGGCCAGGGGCTTGTAGTGCTGCCAGAGTCGGAAGTTCTCATAGACACTCCTGGGGTTACAGGAGTCATCTGGCGGGGCCTTGGCCTGGGAGGAAGCCAGGCTGCCCTCTCCGTGAGCCCCTTGTGGCCATGGCCCAGCATTCCCTTGGGACACAATGGGGGGCAGCTGGGCAGCCGGTGGTGGTGGTGGTGGAAGAGGAAGGCCCTGGGACCAGCCTCCCTCACAGGCCTGGGTGCCCCCAACCACCTGGGCAGCCATAACAGGCACCACAGGAGCAGCTGCCAGGAGTAGGGGAGGTGGACACACAACACCTCCGCAGAGGGCGCCTGGAGCCTGCCAGACGAGGGGGGCCTGAGTTAGGACCAAGGTCTGCGCCTGAGCGGCCTTCACAGGCCCCACCTCTGTCCTCATCTGGACAAAGACGTTGGAAGCCCCGGCCCCACTCGGGCCGCAGCCATCCTGTTCTGTCACCAGAGGTGTGCTGGGGAGGGTAGACAGCACCAGAGGGCCGCCTGGAGGAGCCCCTGCAGTCACAAGGAGCGGCCCGTGTGCTGGGCCGGGAGCGGGTGTGGTGAAGGGCAGAGCCGTGAACACAGACAGGGAGGTGCCAGGGTTCGCGGTCACGCCCGGTCCCAGCGCTGGGTATGCTGTGGAGACAAAGGAAAGAGGTGAATGAGCTGGGGTCTCCAGGTCCACACTAGTCACTGGGGAATCAGAGGGGAGTCCCAACAGCTAAGGGCGTATGACAGGGAAACTGCAGCTTGCAAATGTCCCTGAGTGTGCATCGGATGCTCTGTTCCTCCACGGAGAGTCGCTCCACTAGAGAGCCTGGCCCCGGTCACCAAGACTCCCTGACCCCTGTCTCCCAAGAAGTAACAGCCAAGCCTTCGCTGCCCGAGGGTCTCCCTCGGGTGTCCCTGGCAGACCCTGTCAGCCTCACAGGCATCTCCCAAGCCATGGGTCAGGGATGAGTCTCTCAGCGGCTTGGTGGTCCTCAGCGTGCTCAGCAACAGGTGAGGGGCCTACCCCAGGGCAGTGCTCGGCACTCAGAAGGCCGACAGGAAGCCAGAAGCTTCCGAATATTATGGCCCCATCTCCTCTTCAATCTTCCTTTTCCTGACGCTCTTGTAAACCCCTTTCTTTCCCAGCTCAGACATAACAAAACAAAACCACTGGATGGAAATCTTTCCCAAGCCAGCGCCCTAGGAACCCTGAAGATAATCCATAACTCGTCATGCCCAGCATGCAAGTGATTGTCCTGGCACCACCCACAGCAAGTGCTAAATAGGGGTCAGATTCGGGCCACCCTTTCCGCAGTACTCGATGGTCCCGGCTGCCACTCAGGAAGCTCTGTTCCCAGGGAGCAGGTCTGAGAGGCAGTGGTGGAGTCCCCTGAGACAGTGTCACTGCATAGCCAGCAAAAGCCACACACGATTAGAACACAGCCAGCAAATGGCGAGCAGCAGAGCTAACAGGGGAGGTGTCTAGGGATTTTCACAGCTGCTGGTCATGTTACAATAGGTAGTGGGACAAGGAGCCCATCCCTGGCCCTTCTCCTTTGAGCTCCCAATGACTGAACATAGTGACCAACCAAAAACCAGGGGTTCTTGGGCCATGGGCCGGGTGAGGCAAAGTTGTCTGGAACTCATCCCTGTTCAATAGGACCTCATGCAGTCTCTAGTCAAGGGGAATAAGGGATACAGCACATGCACCTCATCATTCAGGACACGTATCCTAACTTGAATAATAATAATAAGAGAACCATCTTCCTATTCGTGCGCTACTCTCCTTCCTCTACTGAAAAGGAAACCAGCCTTTCCAGACCCTTCCACTGAGAACCAGCAAGAATCCACACCTGCCCCCCGTTCATGAGGTAGTATAAATGGAATAGGAGCAAATTCTTCATCTCCACAGTAACACAAAGTGCAGAGGACAGGCCATGAGCTAGCAGACAAGAGGAAGTGGGTCTGAAGACCTGAGCTTCCACAAAAGGGCAAACAATTCAGAACAACTCAGGAAACCCAGGCCCTGTGTTGCCTGAACTTCCTCATCTGCCCCCACCCCTGTTAAATCAAAGCCAACAGCTACCTGAACTGATGGAGAAGCCATCTCTAGGGAGAGAGCTGAGGGGCTCTGGGCTGTGGCAGTTACAGCAGCCCCCAGCCTCGCCCACCCAGGGGCTGTCACTACATGCTCTGTCACAGCCAACCCACCCAACAGTTTTCTGGCTGAGACCACTTCTCCCCACTCCTCCCTAAGATCTAGAAAACTCCAGTCCAAATCTCTCTGAACACTATGGAAGGGCACCTTCCAGGTGCCTGAAGATATGGCACAGGGTTCAGGCTTGCCTATCATCCTCCCGGGGCCACCAGCACAACATGATCCCACCACTCCCTACAAACACACAATGACGTGACCTGTCTCCTTCTAGAAAGGATCAATCCATCCACTCTGTCCTTTCTCCTACACGGTGTATTCCCCCAGGCATCTTGTTCCACCTCTAAGGGGCCGTCCTCCCTAAACACAGACTCAGGGTGCCATGGCCATCCCCAGGTGTGATGTCCTTGGGGACATCCAGTCTTCCCTCCCTCCTCAACATCAGCCCTATCAACTGTCCCCGGGGCAGTGTCAAATTTGAATTCCTAAGGAGTTGAGGCATGGCAGACTCAGATAATGCCCCCATCCCTACAGGCTTACCTCCATTTGAAGCCATCCCCTCAGGCTGGGCACTGACCACCGCTGTCTGGCAGTTTCCGCAATGAGAAAAGCCAAGGGTAAGACCCAGAGAGTGACCTGGCTCACCAGATGCTCCTGAGTCCAACTGAAACAGGGAAAATTTGAAAGTAAACAGGTTCCTGGAACATAGGACCCCAGACATTCTGCAGAGGGGGAGGGGCAGTGGGCAGCTGTTAGGGGTGGGGGACATTCTGTGAAGGGCTTTGGCCATTAGGCAAGAACCTGAGTTTCCCTTCCAACTGGAAGGCAGCAGCAGAGATGGCGTGTGCCTCTTTAGGCAACTTTTAAATTGTCCTTCTGACTCACAGCAAAAGCTTCTACCTGATGGCCCCTTTACTTCCATTCTTTATCAGCAGACCTACTTTTGTGCCAATCAACCCATGCTCCTTCCCACTTTGGCTCTTTCCCAGTCTTGACGAATTTCAACAGCGGCCTCACTTCGTGAACAAAGTTCAAAACACATTTTCAGTCTGAGAAACACAGGGGTTCTTAGGAAGGCAAGGGGACTGGGTGTTTGAAATCAGGATGGTCTCAGCCGATCCAGACTATTAGGTGGCTGTGTGCTTATCATTGTTTAGGAAGCAATCCTTGTACCCCCAGGTCATGCATGTTGCTGGAATCTCTGTCCACACCAGCAGGCCAGCCTTACGTCCCAGCCCCTTTGCTGGAAAGCCTCAATCCAGGAAAGAGTGGCTATGTGACCTACAGCACCGAGACCAGAAATCCTTTCATTTTGTTTCCCAGCATATTGTGCTGGTGTTAAATGTTTATGTTTTATCTTTTGAATGATTTTAATTTAACCAAGCAATACTTTTCATGGCTCCAAATTCAAACTGTGCACAGTGGAATAGGCAATGACCAGCCTTCCTCCCATCTCTTTTCCCTGGCCACATTTTCTTTCCTGGAGGAAACAGGTGTTATCTGATTGTTTCTCATCTTCACTGAAACACACCCTGGCTGGCCTCTCTCAGCTCACTGTTGGCCTCATCTTCACCATACGTTCTTGCTGTTTGGAATCCAGTGTCATCGCATGTGGTTCTCTGCATGGGAATTATTGTAGCCTGTCTTTAAAAAAAACTTCATTCTCATTTCCACACTGAGAATCACTGTCCGTTTATTAGTGTCAAAATGATAGGAAAGAGCACTCATGTTCTGTGTTGTGAACAAGGGGAGTATTAGAAGAAACTGGTCAAAGGAGATGAGGAGTGAGAACTCAGAGCACAGCAACAAAATCTTCTGAGACACACAAGTCACTCCCTGCTGGGCAGGGTAATTTTGCACGATGGGAGGGTGTTGGGGAAGGGAAGAGGCCTTCAGCCAGACCGGTGCACACTGCAAACATTCACTGAAACACACCCTGTCGGCACTTACGAAGCATTTGCCCCTTTCGAAGACATTTGGACTCAAGAAGGCAGAGTTGCAGGAAAAGGTAACAGCGGCCACACTGCAGGGGCAGGGGCAGGGGCAAGTGGTGGATTGCAAGTCTCAAGCCCAGGGTTCTCCCCCACTGCCCCAGTTGTGTGAGAAGGTCATTTCCTAACTCCTGTCCAATATCCCCATGAGTTCTCGGTTTTGTCCCAACTCTGAACCTGAATGGTCCAGCAAGCATTTCTGTGAAATGTCTCCACAGTGGCCACTGGGAGGGGAGTGACCTCCATGCAGTGACTGTCTGTCTGGGTGCTCCCAGGCCTTTTGTCCTCTGAGACAGAACTGCCTTCTTACATGCAGCCCTCTTCTACTGTGCAACTCTACCTCCATCTTAGCTGAGAAGATCAACGGAGAGCAATTCAAGCAAAATCATGGTAAACTTACCAAAACAAAACAAACCGTAAACACTTTGGAGATCTTTCTGAGGACTTGATCTTTTACCATGGGGCAAACTTAAATGATTTTCAATCAATAACTTCATCTAAGAGGGATGTTGAAGCAAAATATCATACTCAGATACTGAAGAAGCGCAGAATTTTTGGTTGCTTCCTCCCTTGTCAAGTCAGTCAGCTGATGCTTTCTCAAGATTCTCACACGTGGCTTTGATACAGGATTTGAATGAGTCTTTTTCTGAGCCAGTGATACAAAAAATATATTGTGGAAGTGTCTTGTCTTAATTCTGCAATCGCTTCTGTACATGTTTGAAGTCCTAGACCCCAGGAGGAGAGACAGTCAAATTAGCCAAAGGTAATTTGTGAAGACTGACCATTTTAGGTGTTGGCTAAAAGTCCTCCGGCCCCTGCTGTCTGAGCATCCCCACAGAAAGTCCTGGGCCGCACTGACAGCTGAGAAAGAATATCTCAGTGCTTGGATCCCCTGTTCAGAGGACACATGCTCTTCCACCCATAGAGGAATGGCGGCTCCATGCTGTGTCCTGCAGAGCTCTCAGTCTCTGCACTTGAGGCCCTGGGCCTGCATCAACGTGAAGGCTCTTCAGTGTTATCACGTGGAGACAGATGATAGGAATCCTGCAAATGAGCAGAAAGGATGTGACGATTAAAGTTTCTTCTGACGGTATTACAAACTGAAGTCAGTGAGTTCCTTCTCTACTAGTTTTTTATTGCCAACTGGAATTCTGCACTGTGTTGCAGAGTCAGGGGTGGGGAGCGTGGAATTGTTCCCTTACTATCTGCTGCTTTATCGACTGAAATTGATCAAGGCTACAACAAAAACATTTCTAGAAATCATTTGAATGCGGTAGGAAAAACTCTGGGAATGGAGTCAGAAGAAAGTATATTTTGGAGTGTGTTTTCAGGTCTAAAAATCTTTGCCAGAAATACTCTTTAATGGAACCTCCAGACTGAGTAGGAAAACAGGGCATACTGTTTTTTGAAAGGCATGAGCAGGAATGAAATCAATGCCATCCAAAGGGAATGCAAGACATGCAATTCGAGGATACTTTGCTTTAGGATAAACCCTCCAAAGGTAAACCTTTCAGCAAGGGTGTTACCTAAGTGCATGGACTGCAGGTTTGTATTACCGAAAATTAGGAGTGATCGTCGCAGACGCGCTGGTTTCTCAGAGGCACGGTCATGGAGGTTCCAATGAGGGGGCGTTGTCTGGCCCCAGGAAGCGCCCAGGTGCCGCGTCCCTCCATTTCCACATCTCCAGCGGGGCCCTCCTAGGGCGGGCTCCTGGCCTGCCCCGTGCGCCGCCGCAGGAGCCTTGAGGCGGGCAAGGTTCCAGCGCGAGGCCGGCCGCCCTCAACCGCTCCCAGTGGCGGTTGATGGCAGGGAGACGCGCAGCGCGAGAGCAAAGGGTGGTTACCCAATGGCCTTCGCTCTCATGGCGTCCTTCTTGGTGTTACCTAAAAATAAAGCCAAGGGTGATCAGAAGGTAATCACCTCCTGGTCATGCTCCCACTGGTCACCAGTGTCTGCGGGGCGACCCCACATTGTGACCAGAGCAGGCCTGTGGCTGTGCTCAAGGCGGGAGCGTTCATAGCTTTCCTAGTGGGGGCCCTGCGGGACGCCCAGGCCGCACTCCTTTCCCTTGCTCACCTGGCCCTGAAGTGAGGGGGGAGGTGTAACAATGCAGTGGGAACCTCAAAGTGTGTCTCGGCCGTGCCTTTCACATTCCAAACAATGCAAAAGCTTGAAGAAAACCTCAGCAGTTGAAACCGTGATGCAGTTCAGCAAAGAAGTAGCTCCTGTCCCCGTAAAACAGTGAAGTTCTCACGGACGACCTCATTGAGTAAGTTGTGAAGCTTGTTGACTTGATCAGAATGATCAACCAGCATGCATGTTCTAATACGCTGATTTGTCACTGATAGGAGCAGCTGCAAAGTGGAAGAACAGTCCTTTAGTCATAGTTTGTTCACTTGGTAGCACAAGTTGGTTGTGGATGCAAGAGTGTGGCCAAAGTCAAGAAAAGCTTCCATGAGAATTGCTTACTTATGTGGGATTTACAAATAAAAAGTAGTGGTATATTATTTGTAAATTGTAGCTACACATGTATCTAAAATTTACTGCACACACGTGTGTTATCTTGGGTGGTTGGGTTAGTGTGTACTTGAGAATGTCAGGAAGATTTATTTTGGATTTTGGAGGGTGTGAGATTTGTGCGGGTGGTTTTGTGTATGTGAAAATATGTTTATATGAATTCTTAGTTTGGAATTTGATATGTATTTAATTGGTGAGAATCTAATATGTATTCACATGTGTGGGTTGGTGGTGTCTGTGTGGAGACTGCAGATTAAAGAATGTCATAACTGGGCCGGGCACGGTGGCTCACACCTATAATCCCAGCACTTTGGGAGGCCGAGGCAGGTGGATCACCTGAGGTCAGGAGTTTGAGACCAGCCTGACCAACATGGTGAAACCCCGTCTTTACTAAAAATACAAAAATTAGCTGGGTGTGGTGGTGCATGGCTGTAGTCCCAGCTACTCGGGAGGCTGAGGCAGAAGAATCACTTGAACCCAAGAGGCGGAGGTTGCAATGAGCCCAGATCGTGCCACTGCACTCCAGCCTGGGCGACAGAGCGAGACTCCATTCCCCGCCCCCTAAAAAAGAAGGTCATAACTGTTTTTGTGAGAGTGTGTAGGAGTGAGAGTTTATATTTGGAGAATATGAGATGTAAGATATGTATACCAGAAGAATTGGGGTTATATATTTGTGATTTGGGTTGTGAAGATGTATTTTCCATGTGTTTTCTCAGATGAATGTTGGCGATTTGTATTTGTCTAATGTTTGGCAGATTTGGAAGAATTATCTTGTGCACATGGGCAATAACAGAGAAAGTGCTTGTGTCTATTTTGTGGATGTACGCTCTGTTTGGTTTACGTATTTGGGAAATGTAGGAAGACCATTTGTATACTCGGGGCATGTTGCATGGTGATGCGTGCTTCTTTTCATGATTTTCAGGGGGTGTGTATGGCTATTTCAATGTGTGAGGGCAGATCCATGTCTACTGGGGGACTGGTAGGATGAATGTGTGCAGTTATGAGGTGGAGTTTATATGATTCTGTGTCTTGGAAGATGGAGGAGTTATTTCTGTGTGAGCATTTGGAAGTGTGATTACATATGTGCAGGTATTGTGGAACTGTATGTGTATTTGGGGATATGAGGTGGCATGTTTGCATATTTGTGGCGTGTTAGTTAATCGCGGGTATATTTAGGGCATGTAGACAAATACATGAGTATTGAGTCTGTGGGTGTGTTCAAGGGCGTGGCAGTTTAGATGAAGGTTTTGTGGAGCTATGTGCTTGTGTTTTTCAGTAAGTGGTTATTAGGGTTATATATTCTGGGAATTTAGTATGTGTGTGTCTGATAGAGAGATGAGGTTCTCTTTTTATACAGGAGAGTGGGAGAGTTGAATTTATATGTATTAGAGGTATGTGATATGGTTATTGGTTAGTACTTGGCAATGTGGGAGCTGGTTCATACTAGATTGGGATAATTTGGGATTGGGAACTGTTTTTATGGGTATTTATAAATGATATGCTGGAGATATTTCTGTGCATCTTGGGTGTGTATACTGGTTTGTGTGTATATTTATCAGCAGATAGATGAATTATCTAAGTCTGTTTATAGAATACGGGATTGTTAGTATTTAAAGTGTATTTCTTTGGAGAATGCTAGGATGTTCGTACATGTGTTTGGGCATGTTTAGGGGATGAGGTGAGGAGGTTGTATTCTGGAGATGTAGCATATTGATTGGATAGTGTTTCGGGGGATTTATACACTCAGGGATTGGGGATATTTGTGTGAGTTTGTATGTGCCCATGGGTATATGAAAGTTGTGTGCGTATATTAGAGTATTATTGGTGTTTTTGTGGGTTTTTTTTTTTTTTTTTGTATTGTATGGGTTTTATCTGGGAGGGTGAGGTGTGTATTCATGGGTAGTTTGTGAGTGTGTATATGAGGGGTTTTGGGTATATTAAGACTTAGTGGTCCTCTGTGTCTGTTGTGAAATGTAATACTCGCAGAATTTGGTGTTGCCACTTGTATGTGTGTTCTCAGAGTTCGTGAGGTGGACTTATATGTATTTGATAAAAATAGTTTGTGGTTCTGTGTGTATTTGAGTTTATGTGGCTTCTGTGTTTTGTATTCTGGGAGATGTGGGAGGTTCAGTGCATGTATTTGGAAACAGAGAGGCTGTGTAGGTTGTGTTTGGATTCAAGAATCATGGATTCCTGTATTTTAGAGCTGTGGGATTGTATGTGATTCTTTTTCTGGGTGATGCATGACACAAGTGTTGTATACCTTGTGATTTTTTTTTTTGAGCCTATGCCTATAGGATTTTCATTATGTACTGTTAACAAATCTACTGAAAAGGATTTTCTTTAAAAAATAACAAAAGAAAAAAATAGAAATTTGATTCCACTGAGCTGTTTGCAAATCAAGGAGTCCCAGCCTTCAGTGCAAAACAAAGATACACTCTGAAAGAACAAAGAGAGGTATTATCTTTTACAGAGAAATTCGTTCTCAGATTCCCGATCTGGTTCACTCTGCAAATGAGGGATACAAGCTTGTTTATTTCTGATTGGCTGATGCAAGTCACAGTCTATTTCTTAAGTCCATATGATGAAATGGTACCCCTTGATTCAGGTGACATAAACAGGAACAGACAGCTGTGAAAGTCCCAAAGTAACACAAGTACGTGGTTTTTGCAGGAAACAGGGTAAATGTGTGAGACTTGCAGTCAGCAAATGGCTGCTTGGCTCCATTTTGAGTTTAGGCCCAGTTAGCCACTCATGATCAGCCCTTTCAGGGTTCACACTATATATGGGTATATATGGGTACTGTGTTCATTGTACGTGTTTGTATTTGGGCACGTATATATGTACATATATGGTTTTAGCAGTGAGGTGAGCATTTGGGGCAGGTAGAGTTTTGTCTGCAAATTTAAGTAATAATTGGTGCAGGCCATCTGTGTATTTAGGGTACAGGTAGCAGTTGTGTTGCTGGTGGGCTGGTTCAGGTTCTTGACTTTGCTGCACAAAAGAAGTCTTACTTTGAGAGTGAGTCCAACGTAAAAGTAAGCAAGAGAGGTTACTGCAAAGTGAATGTACACTCTGACAGCCGATCAGAGTGGGCTGCTCAAAGGTGAGACAGCATTGACTGACACTGGGGAAACCTCCTTTATGGGAGCCTTACATGACTATTCATGAAGGGGTGGGAAGGGGTGTCACTGTTAAGCACTCTCTGGACTGTTCTCTGGACGTGCATGCGCTAAATGCTGCACATGCTAGTGCCTATATCAGGTGAATCATTAACATCTTAAATCTCTACCCAAGGGTGTGTTTTTCACTGTTATAATGAGCACTGGTCAACCCAGGGACACTAATCATGGGTTTTCACACTTGTGCGAATTTGGGGATTTCCCCTTCTTCTTTTCCACCTCCTTACTGCAGGACCTCCTTGTGCACTGTCGGATGGTTTGTTCTCTTCATCTGTTTAGCAAGGTTGTTCTCCTTTAATGGAGGCTATGGCCACCCTATCCTATCTCAGTTGTGTGTGTCTGTTCAGGATATATGAGGAGGTTGTGTTCTGGAGGTACATCGTTTGGTTTTGTTTTTATATTTGGGGTGAGAGTTGTGGGTCCTACTCAGGGTGCAGGTAGATTGTGTACACATATTCCTATGAAAGGATGTGGCTGTGCTGGAGCTGGCTTGTACTGGCTTGGGGTAGCCACTGGGCATGGCACATCTCTTCTCATCTCTGTGTTCAGTGGCGTTAGGTTGGTAGTTTAAAATTAGTCATGCTGAGATATTTACACCACTTAAGCATCACAATTCTAGGCTTTCCTATTTCCCCCTGGAGAGCATTTTATTAAGCAGTTAGCAACACACCACTGGGGTGGGGGGCGGTGTGTGTGTTCAGGATCTGTAAGCAAATGTTTGTATGAAGCAAGAATATTGAGGCTTTAATAGGTGTGTATTCTGGGGATTCTATGTGTATTGTAGTGATGCAGAATGACCAGGGAGCATGGTTGAGAATGACCCTCCCTGGTCATTCTGCATCACTGTGTTACTCCTAAATAGGTGGTTCATTCTTAGGGCCAAAGAATCCATATAAATGGTAGTTTCTTGCTCTTCCTCCCACAGATGGATGCAGGGGTACCTGCACCTTAGGCAGGTGGTTGCTCCTTCAGTATCTGTGTGTTCCTAGCATCTGGGTCCTCAGATGGGTGGGCCTGGTAGACAGAACACTGTGCAGAGCAGAACTTTTCTAGATATTGTCCGTGTGATTGGCACAGTCAGAAAGATGTGGGGTTTCCAGGACAGGAGGTCAGATGTGCCATGTCTTCTCTCAGTCCTGATGTCCCTGCTGATTCCTCTGGGGCATGGCGAGTGACGAGGACACCCTCTAACATACGTTCCATGAGATGAAAGCCTGCAGAACCTGTGCCTGCACTACCATCTGCCTCCTGGGTGGGGATACTATTGGGTGTCAGGCTGAGAGCTAGGCCACCAGTTCTCAACCAACCTGTCCCCATGGAAACCTGAGGCTTCGGGGCTAAGGCAGGACCTCCAGCAGGTACCCAGTGTTGAGAATATGTGTTGGTTTCTGTGTTAGGAGTTTTATCTCAGTGGAGTCTTGGTAAAAAGAGGGAATCAAAGGCACGTGACATTTTCTTCTTTCTCTGGTAAAGTGAGGAATGAATGTTGACCATTTCTTTCTGAAGTTCCATACAGAACATGTATACTCAGCCTGAGGAGCCAAGGTGATTCCTTAGCTGCTCTTGGAGAAGGTGTCATCTAGTCTTCACAAGGAGTCTTCAGGCACAAGGGCCTGAATCTGATTACTCGTGGAAAGCATTGGGCAGAGCTTCACAGTCCCACCTAGAGCTGGGCTGTAATTCTAGGGACAAAGTGGAGGAGCAACAAGGAAGTGGTGGGGAGCACACCTTTAGAACCTGGGCCTGGGGAGGGCAGGCCAAGGAAGCCTGAGTTTACATGGGCTCAGGTCCTGGGGCAGAAGCCAGACACAGAGCCTGAGCAGCCAGATTCGCTCCGGCCTGGGTTGTGGGTGGGGATGAGCCTCCTCTTGTGCTCCTGTCTGGGGCACCCCTGAGCTGCAGGTGAAGGTCTTAGTTGCACCTTGGCAGGGATGTACAGCCAGGCCTGGTGCTAAGGAGTGAGGAGGGTAGAGTCAAGGAGAGGAGGCACCGATCTGTGTCCCTTCAGCAATCTGGAGCATGATGTTAGATCCTGTTAGGGCGACCTCCCACTCGCATCTCCTGGATCTTCTGTCACTGGGAGGCTCAGGACCCCAAGAGAGAATGGATTCGGTTTCCCCTGATGTGTTCATCTGGTTCTGGGTCCCCATTCTCTCAGCATGTTGGGTGCTGGCCCTGCAGGTGTGGGAGAAGCCTGGCAGGGGCGGGGGTCAGTGAAGTGACATGGGCAGAGCTGGGCAGGCTCTGTCCTGAGGGGTGCTGGGAGCTGGGTTCTGGAGAGACAGGGAAGCCCCCTGAGAAAATGTGGCTCTGATGTTTCTGAGAACCCAGAATACAGGAGCTGCAGAGGGGGAGGGCTTGGTTCACCCCACATGTCCCACCCCATTTGGGCTCACCCCACACATCCCACCCATCCCAGTGAGGTGGTGGTGGTCAGCCACCTGTTTGTGTTCACGTCTGGGGTCACCGTAAGCCAGGCAGGATCCAGACCTTCCACTGTGACTCTGACCCTCACCCACCAAATCTTAGCCCTCTGTACAAGGTGTTTAAGGGGCCCCAGGGGGCCTGGGGGCCCAGTGAGCAGCCCCCCAACAGGGAGGGACAGGCTTGTGGTGCCAGGCTCTGGTAAACCAGGGCCTGCAGGAGCCATGGGTACTTTCCTGATGCAAAGAGGAAGGAAAAGGAAGGGAGCGGAGCCCCGCCTGGGCCGCAGGGCAGTGCACTCCTCAGCCGGCTTCCTCTGGTCACGCCCGCGGGGCCGCAGCACTGTGTGAGGGGTGGGGCCCTGGCACCTAGCTTGGGCACGTGCCCTCCTAGCCGGACCTCCCACAGGCAGGGGCTCTGCTCCCGCCTGCCTCTGCCAGCCCACTAGTGCTCACTGTTCCCTAGGTGTGTTTGTCAAAGTGTCTCTGATGAACCACAACAAGTTTGTCAAGTGCAAGAAGACTTCAGCTGTGCTGGGCTCCATCAACCCTGTGTACAATGAGACCTTCAGCTTCAAGGCCGATGCCACCAAGCTGGATACCGCTAGCCTCAGCCTGACCGCGGTGCAGAACATGGAAGGGGACAGTAAGGCCACACCCTACCCTGGGCTGCTGGGATGGGGACCACGAGGGGCTGCCGAGTGTTCAGGCAGAGTGAGTGCCTCCTGTCCTGACCTCAGAAGGAGCTGTACGAGCTCCCTCCCTGGTTAAGGAAACTAGTGCTCAGAAAGGCTGAAATACTTGCCCAAGGCCTGGGTTTCATGCCCAGCTTTAGTCCAGTTGAGCTCTGTCTGTGGCACCCTAGAAACAGGTTAAGCAGCCAGGCATGCTGGCTCACATCTATAATCCCAGCACCTTGGGAGGCCAAGGTGGGTGGATCACTTGAGCTCAGGAGTTCAAGACCAGCCTGGCCAACATGGTGAAACGCCCATCTCTACTAAAAATACAATAATTAGCTGGGCGTGGTGGCACACCCCTGTAATCCCAGCTACTTGGGAGGTTGAGGCGGGAGGATCTCTTGAACCCAGGAGGCGAGGCTGCTGAATCCGTCAAAAAAAAAAAAAAAGGGCCGGGCACGGTGGCTCACACCTGTAATCCCAGCACTTTGGGAGGCCGAGGTAGGCAGATCACGAGGTCAGGAGATCGAGACCATCCTGGCTAACACGGTGAAACCACGTCTCTACTAAAAATACAAAAAATTAGCTGGGTGTGGTGGCTGGCGCCTGTAGTCCCAGCTACTTGGGAGGCTGAGGCAGGAGAATGGCATAAGCCTGGGAGGCAGAGCTTGCAGTGAGCCGAGATGCACCACTGCATTCCAGCCTGGGCGACAGAGCGAGACTTCGTCTCAAAAAAAAAAAAGAGGTTGGCTGGGTGCAGTGGCTCACGCCTATAATCCTAGCACTTTGGGAGACCGAGAGGGGTGGATCGCGAGGTCAAGAGATCAAGACCATCCTGGCCAACATAGTAAAATTCCGTCTGTACTAAAAATACAAAAGTTAGCTAGGCATGGTGGTGCACGCCTGTAGTCCCAACTACTCGGGATGCTGAAGCAGGAGAATCGCTTGAACCCGGGAGGCAGAGGTTGCAGTGAGCCAAGATCGTGCAACTGCACTCCAGCCTGTCCACAGAGCGAGACTCTGTCAAAAAAAAAAAAAGAAAAGAAAAAGAAAGAGGTTAAGCAATCGCCTCTGCTGCCCTCTTCTGGAGCAAATCACCCGAGAGAGTGGGAGGGACCAGGGCTGCCACCAGCCCAGGGACCTGGTGCTCTGACCTTCCTCGTGCCCTCTAGATGAGCCTTTGGGGTTCTGGGCGAGTTCTGTCAGCCAGCTCTCCCACACTGCCCCACACCCCAGCACCCACTGCCACTCTGGGGAAACAGAGCCATCAGGCCGTGGCTGGCCACATGGCCTGGACTTAAGACCCTTCTCCACAGTGGCCAGTGAACGTTACTGCTGAATGTACTCTCGGATGGCCGAGGCCTTCTTTCTAGAGGGGCCCTTTCCTCCCTCAGCTCTTTGGCATAAGGTAGACTTAATACGGCCCCACAGAAGGGTGTGGGTCAGAGCTGGTGGCCCTCAAGGAGAGAGTCTTTCAGGGCTCTCCTTCCTCCCAATCTCCCAGGGGGAGAAGCAGCCCTTCCAGCTGCAGAGCAAAGGCAGGGCCCCTTTGGGGGCCGTCAGCTCCCACTCAGAGAGGAGGGGAGTTGCTACTTCCTCCTGGGGAGGAGGAGGGAGGAAAGGAGGTCACTGGGGACGGGGCTTCTGTGCTCAGGAGCACACTGGTGCTCTCCCTCCCCTGCAGAGAGCCAGCAGCTGGGCTGAGTGGTGGTGGGCCCCTACATGTACACCCGTGGCAGAGAGCTGGAGCACTGGGACGAGATGCTCAGCAAGCCCAAGGAGCTGGTGAAGCGCTGGCATGCGCTCTGCCGCACCACGGAGCCCTGACCCTTCGCCCAGCACCGCGGTTCCGCTTTGGGAGCCGACCATCCTCGCAGTTGCACGTGACAGCCACAGCCACACGCATGGACGTTTCATCCAACAGCTCCCCGAGCTGCCAGGCCAGCCCGAGCCAGGAGGACGTGAGTGCTGATATGCAGGAGAGAAGAGGGGACAAAGAAGTCCTGGCCCGGTCAGCGGCTCTGGCCATACAGCCTTCCGACACACTCCCTCCTCCTTGCCTGCAGGGCTGCCTGGGCTCGGAATCCCAGCCCCTGGTCCTCACAGCCCTGATTTGGACCAGAATCTCAGGTGCTCAGAAGAAAGATCCTGTTTAGTGATGACCCAGCTCTACCTGCTGAATGGACCTGCAGGGTAAACTTGGGTGCCTCCATCTGGGAAAGCTGATGATGTGTTCATGCAGTCGATGACCCTCACTGCTTTTTCAGCCAGGGTTTCTCTGCCTTCTGCCTGGCAGAGAAAACACACTGCTATGGGGAAAATCACAGGGAGGGCGCTGTGACCAGCACACTCAGGCACCAAGTGTCGGCATGGCTCACTGTGCTGGGTGAAGGCCTCCCTGAGCATTAGGTCCTCCACGGGGCTGTGTCAAATGCCCTCCCACATTGTGTCAAGTCTGCCCATGGCCCACCCTCCCCACAGTCCAAAACCACACAGCCCTGGTTCTCCAGCTGTTCTGCTGCTGTTTCTGTGCTCTCCCTGATTAAGAGCATTCAGTTCCTGGGCTCTCCCTTTGAGCAGGAAATGGTGAAAGCATGTGGCTATGGTATAGCCCACAGGGCTGAGATTGCTGTGTTGCAGTATTGATGTAAAATTTGTTAAGAAGGAAGTACCCACAGATCACTGCCATCAACTCCCCAGAAGTTGCACTCAAGCTAGTGAGCAGCCCTTGTGCTTGTCACAGTTACTGTAACAGGTAGTGTGTATTTGCACCTGGCATCGTGCAGCCTGCACGTCAACACGTTGTTTTGCGTAACTAGAACAGCACATGGAACCACTATCTCTTTCTCTTTTTTCCTTCTTTTTCTTTTTTTTTTTTTTTTTTTTTTTTTGAGACAGAGTTTCCCTCTTGTCACCCAGGCTGGAGTGCAATGGCGTGATCTCGGCTCACTGCACCCTCCACCTCCCAGGTTCAAGCGATTCTCCTGCCTCAGCCTCCCAAGTAGCTGGGATTACTGGCACCCGCCACCATGCCTGGCTAATTTTTTTTATTTTTAATAGAGACGGAATTTTACCATGTTGGCTAGGCTGGTCTCAAATTCCTGGCCTCAGGTGATCCACCTGCCTCAGCCTCCCAAAGTGCTGGGATTACAGGCATGAGTAACCGCACCCGGCCCGACCAGTATCTTTTTCTTATGCAGTGAAACAACTTTAGCAAAAGAGGCAATGAATGTTATACTGAGTTTGTACCTCTTTAACTCCACCTGCAATTTCTGTCAATCTACAAATACAAGTGTCGCCTCGCAGTGTTTCGTATGGACAGAATATCTTGTGTTTGCTTTTTGTCACTTATTTCACTTGCACATTTTCTTTTGTTTGTTTGTTTGTTTGTTTTTTGAGACGGAGTCTCGCTCTGTCGCCCAGGCTGGAGTGCGGTGGCGCGATCTAGGCTTACTGCAAGCTCCACCTCCCGGGTTTACTTACGCCATTGTCCTGCCTCAGCCTCCGGAGTCGCTGGGACTACAGGCGCCTGCCACCACGCCCTGCTAATTTTTTGTATTTTCAAGTAGAGACGGGGTTTCACTGTGTTAGCCAGGATGGTCTCGATCTCCTGACCTCATGATCTACCCGCCTCGGCCTCCCAAAGTGCTGGGATTACAGGCGTGAGCCACCACGCCCGGCCCACTTGCACATTTTCAAAGTAGTCCACAAAGCTGTAGTTTCTAATAGCTTCATAGTTCACATGTAATAGGGGTTCTCTGTGTGTTTATAGAGCAGGCTACTACAGTGGAACTGTTCCTGTTTCATCTGACATCCGGATAGATGCCAGCCACCCCCACATTCCAAAGTGAGATTTCTGACTAGCAGTGACTTTTCTAGGGCCACGTGGAAAAGTTGATAAGTATCCTTTTCTGCAGGACAGAGTAGACTGGTATCTCTGACTCATCCCTGAAAAATCTAAATGGCAAGAGACTAGCTGGCTCTCTGATGGGGAGGAGGTTGTTGTTTTGGTTGTTCTCTACAGACATAGTCAGGGCAAAAAGCATACACATGCTTTCCATGGACCAGAGAGACCTGGCCTGGGTTGTCTCAAATCCTGTCCACAAGGCAACTCCAGAAGAAAGAAGCCCTTTACATTTCCATAAAACACTTTAGAATCAGCTAGTCAATTTCCACAAAATAAAGTGCTAGAATTTTATTGGATTTAATTGATTATGTAGAACAATTTGGGGGCCATTTGACATCATTAAAATATTCAATTTTCCTATTCATTAACATGGTATATCTCTTCACTTTAAGTCTTTTGTATGTTTCTCAGAACTATTTTTGTGGTTTTCAGTAAAGTGTTCTTGCACATCCTTCAATAGATTTATTCTTAGACGTTTTATATTTGTTTATGGCTAGTATATACAGATTCTGTTGCTACAAAACTATGTTGACCTTGTTATCCAGTGAGTGGCCTTGTGACATTCATTTAAATTATAATAATTTGCAGATTATTTTTGTATAATCATGTCCTCTGTGAATGACAGTTTTATTTCTTCCTTTCTTAATCTTTATGCCTTATTTAGCTCTTGCCAAACTGCAGGGGCTGAGCAATTGGACAAGATAAAGAAATAAAAGTGATCCAGATCATAAAGAAAGAAGTAAAACTATATCTGCACATGACATAATCTTGTCTATGGAAAATCCTAAGGAATCCACACACAAAAAAACTACTAGAGCTAATAAGTTCAGCAAGGTTGCAAGATATAAAATTGGTATACAAATTGCAGTGGCTAGGACCTCCAGCAGAATGCTGACTATAAGTAGTGATAGTGGGTATTCTTGTCTCATCCTCAATCTCAGGGGTGGTGGGTGTGGCATGTGGAGAGTTGTCAATATTCACCATGAAGTTTGATGGTTGTTATAGGATTTTTAATGTACTCATTAACATATATTCTCAAGCTGTTAAAAAGATTTTTTTTAATTACAAATGAGGTTAAATTTCTCTCAAATACTTATTCTGCACCTTTTGAAATAATTTTATTTTTCTCCTTTATTCTTTGGATGTGATGACTTATACTAATTGACTGTTGAATGTCAAACCAAACTTAACATTCTTGTAATAGAAACCAGCAGGGTGTGTACGCGTTTGTGTGTGTGCACAGGTTTATACACATAAACACAATAATACTTGGACTTATTTATTTAAAATTTAGATTTATTAGAGGGAGCATGGCCATAAAATAAAATAAAATAAAATTTAGATTTAAGTCAAGCTCAGTGGCTCACATCTATTATCCCAGCACTTTGGAAGGCCAAGGCAGGTAGATTGTCTAAGCTCAGGAATTTGAGACCAACGTGGTGAAACTCGGTCTCTACAAAAACCACAAAAATTAGCCAGGTATGGTGTCACATGCCTGTTGTCCCAGCTACTTGGAGGGCTGGGGCAGGAGTATTGCGTGAGCCCAGGAGGTTAAGGCTGAAGTGAGTCATGTTCACGCCACTGCACTACAGCCTGGATAACAAAGCGAGACTCTGTCTCCAAAAATAAAATAAGTAAATAAATAAATAAATAAAATTTAGATTAATTTGCTGTTATATTTTTATATAAACTATGACATAAGTATAAACAAAAAAATAAAATAAGTAAATAAATAAATAAAATTTAGATTAATTTGCTGTTACATTTTTATATAAGCTATGTTTATGACAGACTTTCCTATAATATTCTTATCATAATGTTCTTGCACTTGAAAGAATGTGCATTCTGCAGTTGTGTGCAGGTGTTATGTGTATTTCAACTGGGTCAAGTTTGTTAATCAGGTTGGTCAAATTATCTACATCTTTACTGATATTTTTGTCTGTTTTTCTATAAATTACTGAGAGAGGCTAAAGCCCGCCACTATTATTATGAATTTGTTTATTTCTCCTTTGAGTTTTGTTAATTTTTGTTTTATGCATTTAGAGATTGTGTTATTAGGTTCATACCCATTTAAAATTGACGTTTTCTGGTAGAGTGAACCCTTTATTATGTGAAATGGCTTTCTCTACCACTCACAGTGGTATTTTTTTCACTTTCCCCCTTATTTTTGAATTTTCAGTGTTCTTATAATGATGTCATGTCTCTTGAATAGAGTTGTTTTAATCAAGTCTGTCAATTTTTGTCTTTTGTGTATTTCGTGAATTTACATTTATTGTAATTACTGATATAGTTGTGTTCATAAATACCATCTTACTATTTGTTTCCATTTGTCTTACCCATTTTTGTTTTTATTTTTTTCTTTTCTGTTGCTTTCTTTCTGATTATTTTTTTAATTCCGTTTCCCCCCCTACCATTGGTTCTACTTACACATTCTTTTATAATTTCTTCAGTGGTTTCCTCCACAGATTACAACTTCTGTACATTATTATAATCTAATACAAATTTTACTTTTTATTGTTTCCCAGACAATGCTATGATCTCACAATACTCAATCTCTATTTACCTCCATTCTACTCTTGCATGTATATTATTATTACTCATTTTAATTTCACATATATTTTACACCTAATGAGACATTATTATTATTGCTATGTGCAGTCAATATTCATTTGTATTCACCCACATATTCACTCTGTTTTTTTTTATTATTTCCTGCATTTCTGTGATTCTATCATAGATCAGTTTTCTTCTACCTGAAGAATTCCCTTTAGTATTTTTTGTGTATGCACATCTGCTGACAGCAAATTTTCTCAGGTTTTTTTGTGTTTTTTTGTTTGCTTGTTTTTGAGACAGGGTCTCACTCTGTCGCCCAGGCTGGAGTGCAGTGGCATGATCATGGTTCACTGTAGCCTCAACCTCCTAGGTTCAAGCAGTCCTCCCACCTCAGCCTCCCGAGTAGCGGGACTACAGGCAGGCACCACCATACCTGGCTAATTCTTTTGTATTTTTTGTAGAGAAGGGATTTCACCATGTTGCTCAGGCTGGTCTCAAACTCCAGAACTCAAACAATCTGCCTGCTTTGACCTCCCAAAGGACTGGGATTACAGGCCACCTCACCCAGCCTTTCTCAGTTTTTGAATAGAAACATCTATTTCAAATTCATTTTTAAGTATATTTTGTGAATATAGGATTACAGGTTGACACTTTTTTCTTTGAGGAACTTCAGAATGGCACTCCATTATCTTCTCACTTCCATCATTTCTGTTGACAAGTGATTTTCAGTGCTATTGTTTCTCCTTTGAGAGTAATGTGTCAGTAACGTGCGCTGGCTCATGCCTGTCATCCCAGCACCCTTGAGCCCAGGAGTTCAAAACCAGCCCAGGCAACAGAGCAAGATCCCCCACTCTACAAAAGAAAACGACAGGAGGGAGGCAGGAAGGAGGAGAGAGGGAGGGAGGGGAAAGAAAAAAGAAAAGAAGAAATGTGTCCCTCCTACCTGCCTCTAGCTGCTTTTAATGTTTTTTCCTTGTCTTTCATTTGCAGCAGTTTAAGTATAGTGTGCCTGGGCCGGGTGCGGTGGCTCACGCCTATAATCCCAGCACTTTGGGAGGCCAAGGCCAGTGGATCACCTGAGGTCAGGAATTCGGGACCAACCTGGCCAACATGTGAAACCCCATCTCCACTAAAAAATCCAAAAATTAGCCAGGCATGGTGGTGCGTGCCTGTAATCCCAGCTATTCAGGAGACTGAGGCAGGAGAATCGCTGGACCTTGGGGAGGCGGAGGTTGCAGTGAGCTGAGATCGCACACTACCGTACTCCAGCCTGGGTGACAAAGAAAAACTCCGTCTCAAAAAATAATAATAATAAAAAAGTATAGTGTGCCTGGATGCAGTTTTGTTTTTATTTATCCTGCTTGGGGATCATAAAGCTTTATCAGTTTTGGAAAGTTCTCAGCCTATATTTATTTAACTGTTCCTTCTGCCCCATCTTCCTCCCTTCTTCTAAGACTCCAGTTACGTATGTATTAGGCCTGTTCACCACTTCCCACAAGTATCTTATGTTCTTTGCTGTATTTTCCATACTCTTTGTCTCTGTTTTTCAGCTTAGAGTTTTTATTCTGTCCTGTATTACAGTTCAAAGAATGTTCCTTCTGCTAAATCTAATTGTAGTTAACCCATATGCTAAGTACTTAATTTCAGTTATTGTATTTTTAAGTTTTAAATTTCCATTTCATTCTTTCTTATAGATTCCAGTTCTTTGATGAAAGTCTCTATTCCACCCATCAAGTCTGTGTCTGATAACACCAATATCTGGGTCATTAGTGGCTCCGTTTTGTTGTGTCTGTTTTCCCCTCCTTCCTGTTTTGTGGTGTGTTTGATCACTTATTGTTGAATGCTAACCATTATAATAAATTTTAGTGGCTCCAGGAAACATTATCTGAAAACAATGTCTGTCTCAAGGGAGGGTTTACCATGTCATCTGATAGACAGAGTGGGAAGATTTTACCTTAATCCAATGGTACTGAACTGACTAGAGTCTATGTTGCAGTTTTTGGAAGGCTTCATCTCCATCTCTGGTTTGCCCATCTATCTAGAGTGTGGTCCTCCAAGGATTCCAGCTGAGCGTCTGATGTGATTATTAGGCTTCTTTTCCTTGGTGGGTCCTGAACTCCAACTTTTATCTCATTAATATGACACTGCCAAAACCTGCTGCCTTTCATAGCCTTTCTGCATAGCTTAATTCAGCAGATGCCTCAAGGGGAAAGTGTTCCTTTTCTGTGTCTCCCTTCTACATGATATCTCGGCCCCTTCAGTTCCAGCTGCCTTGACAACCTCAGTCTCCATTTCTTGTCTCTCCAGCTGAAGACTCTGCTGACTTTGCTGCCTCTTAGCTATGGCCGTCTGCCCAAATGCTCGGCCTCTTAGCTAAAATCAGCACGTTTCCTGAAAGGAAAAGTAGTTCACAGAGGGCCAGCTTGCCTCCTTGTGTTTTTCTTCTTTTGAGATTATGGCCCTTCAAATGTTTGTTAACTGGGAAGCTTTCAAAAAACTTTTTAAAAAAGTTTTCTGTGTTTTATTCAGCCTTTCCAGTTGTTCTTGGAATGAGTGTTGGTCTGCCTCAAGCAGAAAAAAAAATCTCAGAATTCTTTTCTCAGAAAAAGGATTCTCAGCAGAGAGTGATTTTATACACGGAATGGGATTAAACAATTCTTGGGAAAGCTGGTGAAGCCAACGAGGGAACAGTTACTTTTATCAGTGTGCAATTTTTTTGCTATAATGGTGCATAACAACTAATCACAACATGTCAATGCCATACTTAAATAAGCACTCATTTCTAACACATCTGTGGGTTGGCTGGAGGTGGTCTGAGCTAGGGTAGGCAACTCACTTTTTTTTTTTTTTTTTTTAAAGTTTCACTCTTGTTGCCCAGGCTGGAGTGCAATGGCACCATCTCAGCTCACTGCAACCTCCACCTCCCAGGTTCAAGTGATTCTCCTGCCTCAGTCTCCTGAGTAGCTGGGATTACAGGCATGCGCTACCACGCCCGGCTAATTTTGTCTGCCTTCCTTCCTTTCTTTCCTTTCTTTCTTTCAACGGAGTTTTGCTCTTGTTGCCCAGGCTGGAGTGCAATGGCGTGATCTCGGCTCACCGCAACCTCTGCCTCCCGGGTTCAAGCGATTCTCCTGCCTTAGCCTCCCAAGTAGCTGGGATTACAGGCATGTGCCACCACGCCCGGCTACTTTTGTATTTTTAGTAGAAACGGGGTTTCTCCATGTTGGCCAGGCTGGTCTCGAACTCCCGACCTCAGGTAATCCGCCTGCCTCGGCCTCCCAAAGTGCTGAGATTACAGGCGTGAGCCACTGCGCCAGGCCTAATTTTGTATTTTTTAGTAGAGACTGGGTTTCTCCATGTTGGTCAGGCTCGTCTCGAACTCCGGACCTCAGGTGATCTGCCTGTCTCGGCCCCCCAAAGTGCTGGGATTACAGGTGTGAGCCACTGCGCCGGGCCTGGCAACTCACTTTCAAGCTGGCTGGGCTTGGCTCCTCACATTTGTGCATTCTGAACACAGGCTGCAGGGACAGCTGCTACCCCCAGGGAAAGCTCTTTTCGTGGTGAAGGGAGAAGCATAAAAAGGCAAGCTGCATTGTGCATATGCATATCTGTGTCTCTCCTTATGTTGTGTCATCCAATATCCCATTGGCCAAAGCACGTCACATAGCCAAGCTCCAAATCAAGGGTCAGAGAAGTAAATGATATCTTTTTCCTGAGGGGAACTGCAACACTACAGGGCAATGGACACAGCCACAGGGAGGGGTGAAGAATTCAGGTGGACAATGCAATGAACCATGCTGATGTTTCCTGGAGCTGGGATCTTCAGGAGCCTGTGCTTGGCTGTGCCCATCCAGTCACCAAGGAGGAACCCCCCTACTGCAGAGCTGCTTTGGGGCCTCGATGCCATTGTTGCCAAACTGACATTCCATGATGAAAATGGACTGTAATTTGTACAGCTATTTGCCAGTTGTTTTTTCTATTTTGCACTGTGGAAATCTTTGCCCAAATTACTGCAAGAGTCTCGAGCATCCTGCTGTCGTAAGTGCAGAGTCAAAGGAAGAAAACGATGATTTTTTAAACCATCTTTCTGCTTTCTAGTCTCACCTGAGTGCCTCACATTTGGCAGAATCAACCTGGAATCCTGCTCATAAGACTATCAGGGAAATATAATTTCCAGACTTCCATTTCCAGAAAAATGTAATAAATACTTTTAAAGGGGATGGAGATGGTACCGTGTGCTAACCCCACTCTGAGACAAACCTGGGTCACAGGAACCATAGGGAAGATGTCTGCAGTAGAAGGGGACCTCGAAGTACTCAAGTACTTGGCTCACAACAGCACTATTCACATAAAGCCTGGCCTGCCCCTTGGTGACCTCCTTCCCTTACGCCTCTAGACTCTACTAGGTGATCAGAAATCCCTGCAAGCTAGTTGGGGAGGGAAGAGTGAAAGTGAAAAATGGAGAGGAAACACTGCTACCCGCCCAATGCCTGAAGCCAAATGCAAGCCTGGGCCAGGCTTGGGGGAGGAATCAAGAGGAAGCTTAAACTTAAAATGAAATCGAAAGTTTAGACTCCTACATGGGATTGGACATTTTAAATGCTGAACAGAGCCTATTTTTATAGCTAGAAGTTACAGGACAAATTTTTGGTTAACTGAGAATGATCCAAAAATCATGTGAATTTTGTGATCCAGAAAGTCACAGAACATGCCCTAGATTTTATCCCAGGGGCAGGGAGGAGTGACCTGCAGAGCAAGTTTGAATTGGTAAATAGAAAACAAGAATAAAATAGTTTGCTGTTTACATTCCATAAGCCTGGCTCTTTCAACATCATGGGTATATTTCTTGGTTGAATTTAGTATGCCACTATGACTCCGGATTGTGATATTTGCCTAGGATGTTTTGTCCTAATATTTAGTATGGAATTATTTGCCCAAATCACCTGCCCCTCTCCACTTGTAGCTTTATTTCAAGAGGTATGTTTCTCAAAGTGGAGTGACTGCCAGAGTGGGAGAAAGGAGCTAGCCCTTACAGCTGTAGTAGGTCTTTGTACATCAGCTTGGTAAATCTGCAAAGCCCCCCACCTTCCCCCCTCCCACCACCCCCAATCCCCACCCCGCCAGGAGCCTTCCCCACGTGTGGACAAGAGAGAAGGGAGGATCTGGGAGGATGTGCTGTTTCTCAGGGTCCCACAGCTAGAAGGTGGTGGAGCTAGAATTTAAATCACATTCCAAATGTCTAAAAATACTATCATTATCACATATTACCAGAGACACCTCAAAAAAGACAGAGACGCCCTGCAGGGCCGCAACATTCCCGCAGCCTGGTAGGGTCTGCTGGGGGCCCCATGCCTGTGAGAGCCGCTCCTGCCGCTGCAGCACCGGGGAGGCTGTGCATTCAACGAGTCCTTCCTCCCTTCTCCTTTCATTCCATTCCTGCCTTCCTTCCTCCCTTCCCCCTCCGCTCCTTCCCCTAGACCTTCCTTCCGCCCTCCCTACCCCCCGCACGTCTCTCCCTACCATCCTTCTTTCTGTGTGAATTATCTGTTCATCTCCATTGCTGCAGTACCGTCTGGCAAATGATCTGCTTGGATCCTCCTGGCTTTTTGAGAATCGGCTGGCATCAGGGTGCTGACTGACAAACTTCCCGGGGTCTGGGCACGGTGGGGACGGAGCCTGCAGACGGCGGTGTCCCCGCTAGAAGAGCCGTGGGGACGTGATTAACAGGTCAGGCCGGGCCGCGAGGTGGCGGAGGGGCCGCGCTTGCGGGCGTGGGGCGCTGGCAGAACGCGATCCGCGGCCTGTGGCCCGCAGCCGGACCCGAGCGCCAGCCTCCCGCAGCGTGTCTCCAGCGCCCTCTACTGTTCAGCATCCTCCCCGCCGCGAGGGGAGCCGCGGAAGGGGATTCTGGCTGTGACCGCAGAGCAGGTATTAAAGGATGGATTTGGAGGTGCGAGGCCATACATTGACAACGGGTATACCATGCGTCCCAAAACCTTCCAGCGTGTCCCCTTCCAAACACTACCTCTCCCTCCCCACCAAAATAACCAAAATAACCAACGACCTGATTTTTATGGCAAACACTGCTTTTACCACCTAACCATGCAACTTCTCTCTCTCTCTCTCTCTCTCTCTCACACACACACACACACACACACACACACACACACACATATATATGAAGCCTGTTGTGATTTTGGTTGGGATTGCATTGAGATTTTCTTCTTTTTCCTTTTCTTTTTTTTTTTGAGACGGAGTCTTGCTCTGTCGCCCAGGCTGGAGTGCAGTGGCCTGATCTTGGCTCACTGCAAGCTCCGCCTCCCGGGTTCACGCCATTCTCCTGCCTCAGCCTCCCGAGTAGCTGGGACTACAGGCGCCCGCCATCACGCCCGGCTTATTTTTTGTATTTTTTTTTTTTTTAGTAGAGACGGGGGTTTCACCGTGTTAACCAGGATGGTCTCGATCTCCTGACCTCGTGATCTGCCCGCCTCAGCCTCCCAAAGTGCTGGGATTACAGGCGTGAGGCACTGCGCCTGGGGTTGCACTGAGTTTATAAGTCAATTCAGGGGAGAATTGACATCTTTAAAATACTGGGTCATCTAATCAGTTCACATGGTATGTACTTCTGTTTATTTACCTCTTCTCTCATTTCTCTAAATAATAAAGTGTCATGGACATCTTTTCATTAAATTTTTCCCCAGACATTTGAATTTTTATGCTACCATAAATGGTATTGTTTTAAAATGTTTTATTTTCTAACTCTTGCTGGTGTACAGAAATAAAGTTGGTTTTCCTATTTTGACCATTTATTCAGTCATGCTAAACTCACTAATTCTAATAACTTGTCTCTGGATTCTTTTGAGTTGTTAATAATACATACATAGTTTTGTATCTTAGGTCCAATCTTAGTATTTTTATTTCAACTTTTTTGCCTTATTACTCTTGTTAGGAATACCAGGAAAGTATTGAATACAAGTGATGATAATGGACATCTTCGTCTTATTTCTGTTCTCAGGAATGTTTCCACATTTCATTATTAAGGAAAATATTTACCATAGTTGTAGCTCCTTGAGATAAACAGTGTTAAAATTTTTTGGCCACTCTCCATTGATTTAATGTATGGTTTTCTAAAAACGAAATATTTTACATACTGTTTCTGAGTAAGATTTTTTACCCAATGCACTGTAAACACCAAAATCATATATTTTTATATAGTTTTACTTGGCTTACCTTGTTTTTTTGCTTTAACTTGAAAAATATTTCCCTGTTGTTAGGCCAGGCGCAGTGGCTCACGCCTGTAATCCCAGCACTTTGGGAGAGCGAGGCGGGAGGTTCACCTAAGCCTGAGAGTCTGAGACCAGTCTGGCCAACATGGAGAAACCCCATCTCTATTAAAAATACAAAATTAGCCAGGCATGGAGGCGCATGCCTGTAATCCCAGCTACTCGGGAGGCTGAGGCAGAAGAATTGCTTGAACCTGAGAGGTGGAGGTTGCGGTGAGCCAAGATCATGCCATTGCACTCCAGCCTGGGCAACAAGAGCAAAACTCTGTCTCAAAAAGAAAAAAATTCCCTGTTTATTCTTTTTTTATAATCGTTTTATTGAGATATAATTCACATATATGATTCATCCATTTAAAATGTATAATTCGATGGTTATTGGAATATTTACATTTCTGTTTAATTCCCTCAATTAATTTTTAAATCAACTTGTCAACTCGTATAGGCCATCCCTCAGGGACTTTGTTTATTGTTGAATTAACTCTGTATAGTACATCTTCCCAAACAGCAGGAGCACAGTAGAGTGTTCCACTAATTCTTGTCTCCTTTTATTTCCCTCATGATATTTAAATCATTTGCTTTCAATAAATTAAGCTCTTAAAGTTTTTGGTTTTATCTGTGAGCATGATTATTTTTATTTAGAATTATGTATTACTGTTATATGGTAATATAATTTTGTAAATCTGTTATGTGTAATTATTACTAGCATATTTTTTATTTCCTGGGATTATTTTTCTTAATATATATTCTAGTTATTCAAAATAGTGACATTTTAATTTATTTAAGACTTCCTGTTACAATTACATACGTATTTTTATTCTCAAATCATATAGCCAGCATTTCTACTGCTGAACAAAATGCTTTGAAATATCAATAATACATATATCTGACTTTTATCTAGAATACATATGTCTGATCAGTAAAAAGACAAACAACCCAATAAGATAAATGTGCAGATGACTTGAGAGACACTTCACAAATGAAGGTATACAAATGGCCAATGAGCACATGAAAAGTTGTGCGTCATTAGTCATCAGTGAAAGAGAAACCAAAACCAGGAGGTTCCACTTTACCGCCTCTAGAATGGCTACAGTGAAAATGACTGACATCTCAAATATTGGCAAGGATGTACAACAACTGGAAGCCTCCGTTTTGGCTGCGGAGAGTGTAAAATTGCACAACTTTGGAGCACTGTTTGGCAGATTCTTCTCAAGTTAAATATATACTTATCCAATAAACTGACAATCTCAGTCCGAGCTATTTAAATCCCTGCCCCAACAAAAACTTACGTCCACAACAAGACTTGTTTTAAAAATGTTTTTAGCAGCTTTATTCATAATAGTTCGAAACTGGAAAGAACTCAAATGACTTCAACAGACGAATGGATAATATATTCACACATTGATATATTACTGAACAATAAAAATGAATAAACTGCTGATTCACATAAAAATATGGATAAGCCTGAAAAACATTCTTAGGTTAAAAAAAGCCAGTTACAAAGGAATATATACTGTATGATTTCATTTACATGAAGTCCAAACACAGATCAAACTAGTGTATAGTGATAGAAATCAGAATGGTGGTTGGCCATCATGGATGGAGACTGACTGGAAGTGGAGATGAACGAAAATTCTAGGGTGATGGAAATGCTCCATATCTTGTTTGGGGTTCAGTTACATGAATGTATATATTTGTCAAAACTCTAAATTGTACACTTAAGACCTGTGCATTTAACTATACGTTTTCATGCAATTTTTTTTTAAATTCCAAGAAAAAGGATCTGATTGACCCAATTTGAGTCAGGCATCCTACTGTCTTTGCATAGTCAGTTTTTGCCAAGGAATCCAAACAAGCAGTATAGACGTGACCTAGAGAAGGGGCACCAGCATGGGCTTGGCTCCCACCCACAAAGTTCCAATATCTCCTACGTGATGTCAGTTTTGGGGACCAAAACCATATCATCTTTTTCTATTATTTGGATGTGATCTCTTTATTTATGTATGTTTGTTGTTGTTTTTATTTTTTAGAGACAGGGTCTCGCTTTGTCATCCAGGCTGGAGTGTAGTGGCAGATCATAGCTCACTGCAGCCTCAAACTTCCGGGCTCAAGTGATCTTCCTGCCTCAGCCTCCTGAGTAGTGTGTCACCATGCCTGGCTAATTTTTTTTTTTTTTAGTGTTTTATAGAGACAAGATCTTGCTATGTTGTCCAGGCTGGTCTCCAATTCCTGGCCTCAAGCAATCCTCCCGTCTCAGGCTCCCAAGGTACAGGGATTATGGGAGTGAGCCACCACACCGGGACTGATCTTTCTAACACAGGGAAATTGTATTCTTTAGAAGTGAGGGAATATTTCCTAGTAATTTGATCAAGTAAAAATAATTATAATAAAGAAGGTAAAATCAAGCCCTAATTCCCCATGTAGGGGAATAATGATATCATTTTGGTAAGATTCTTCCAGACAGTATGATTAGGATGTTACATAAATCAAACTGTGCTATATACAGTATGCAGAGAAGGACAATTCCTTAGCTTGTCTAAAGTCTGATAGTGTGAAGAATTTGCTGACCTGCTCTCCATGCCTGTCTGAGCACGAGTGAAGTGAATCAGAGAGAGATTGCAAGATGGAGAAAGGAGGTACAGTTGGAGAGAGTGGAGGGGGCAGGAAAGACCAGACAGAGCTGCATCTCCCATGAAAACAACTGTGTACATATGATAGAGTGAGTACATAGAGTACATAGAAGAGTGAGCTCTGAAAGAACTCTCACATGGACCCCAGAAAGAGGAGTACTCAACGCCTGCTGCACAGAAGGCATCAGCAGTTAAGTACTGGCTAGAAAAGCAGAGTCCATCAAAGGAGAGGACCACAGTGGTAGCTGCCTGGTAAGTACCACTGTCCCCTTTCCTTCTTTTCTCCCTCCCCAGCTCACTGGAGGAGCTAGGCCTCAGGAAGCTGGGAAGGAATGGGGAGAATTCACCTCGGTGACAGTTCACGCCCTCCCTCCAGCTCCAACAGCTGGAGTCAAAGGAAAGGAAGAGTGCACCTATCTCCTCCCCATTCCAAGTCCCTTTAGTGACTAGCTGGACATGCTCTGGAGAAGAGCAAAATGAGGCTGGAATTTAAACAATACCAGACTTTCTAAAACACAATGCCTGGGAAGTTATGTGAGGCATGTGAGACATGAGGGGATGGAAAAGGGATTCAACAGAGCATAGTTGAAATCAATGATTTAAAAAAACAAAAAAACTGGTTGATGGCTCATACCTGTAATCCAAGCACTTTGGGAGGCTGAGGCAGGTGGATTGCTTGAGCCCAGGAGTTCCAGACCAGCCTGGGCAACATGGCAAAACTCCATCTCTACAAAAAATACAAAAATTATCCAGGTGTGGTGGCACATGCCTGTAGCCCCAGTTACCAAAGAGGCTGAGGTGGGAGGATAGCTTGAGCCTGAGAGGCAGAGGTTGCAGTGAGCTGAGATCATACCACTGCACTCCAGCCTGGGCAACAGAGTGAGACCCTGTATCAAAAAAAAAAAAATTTCCATAGTTAATACCCTTTAAATGTGGACTGCTAAATAAAGCTAAAGCTAAGGAACATTAAAGAATACTTTATTAATTGAAAAAGCATGCTCTTCTTAAATAGTAAGCCTTAACCACTGAAAACATGTCCAAATGATCCATAAATTCAAAGCAATCTCATTAAAAATATCAATGGGATAAAAATGATTCTAAACTTATCTCAAGAACAGATGGCATGCCCACTAGGATGGCTATAATCAAAAAGTCAGATAATAATAAAAAGTGCTGGTGAGGATGTGGAGAAATCAGAACTCCAATGCATTCTCATGGGAATGTAAAATAGTGCACCTGCATTAGAAAAGTTTGGCAGTTCCTCAAATGGTTAAACCATACAACCCAGCAATTCCACTCCTGGGTACATACCCAAGAGAAATGAAAATATACATCCACACAAAGACTTGCACACAAATGTTCATGATAGTATAATTAAAAATAGCCAAAAAGTGGGAAAAACTCAGTTGTCCACCAACTGATGAATAGATACATAAAATGTGGTATATCCATACAATGGAATATTATTTGGCAATAAAAACAATGAAGTAGTGATACATGCTACATGTGTGAACCTTGAAAACACTATACCGAGTGAAAGAAATCAGTTACAAAGGACCACATATTGTATGATTCCATTCATGTGAAATGTCAGAATAGTGAAATCTATACAGCCACTAAGTAGAAGAGTGGTTACCTAGGGTTGGGGGAAAGAGGGTGGTTATGGAGGAGCGACTGTTAGCTCCTCTTAAGGAAGAGCTGTGGGGTGGTATAGTTAATGTAACTATGGATGATTGTTTTGGGGGTGATGAAATGTTCCAAAATTGAGTGTGCTGATGGTCACACACTCTGAATATACTAAAAAACACTGCAACATATACTCGTAATGGGGAATAAAAAAGAACAGATGGGCAAAGATGTCTGAGAAAAACAATTTTAATGAAGAAAAATATGGGGTACTTTTCCTATCAGATGTAAAGTTATAATAATTCTAACTGTATGGTTCTGGCTCAGCAATAAATATAGAACAATGAAACAGACTAGAAAGTCCACAGGTAATGCTAGCAGGAATAATAATTTCATATTATAATAAAGATCACATCTACGTCACTGATGGGAAAGAAAGAAATCAATAGTGTTGGGACAACCAGCTGACCATTTTAGGAAAATGAATCAGTTAGATCCATTCATACCATGCACTAAATTTTAGATAATTAAAGATTTAAATACAAATATAACAATCATAAATGTTTCAAAAAATTTTTTGAAGAAAATGTGTATAATCTTATAGTAGAAAAGAAGCTATCTAGGCATGTCATAAAATCTAGAAACAATAAAGAAAAAGATTGATGGGTTGATCCACGTAAATATTTATGATTTCTGCATGTCAAAACATATATAACAAGCTTGGGAAAAATGTCTGCAACACATGTTAAAAATTACTAACTTTATAAGGAGAACATACTAATTTAATAAAAGGCTTCTCCCAAATAAAAATGGTCTAAGGTAAAATATGAAAAAGCAAACTGCAAATGACTGATAAGCATATGAAACAAATGTACAATCACTTTAGCAAAAAAATAATTCAATTAAGGCTGGGCGCAGTGGTTCACACCTGTAGCCTCAATACTTTGGGAGGCTGAGGCAGGCAGATCACTTGAGGCCAGAAGTTCAAGACTAGCCTGGCCAACATGGCAAAATCCTGTCTCTACCAAAAATACAAAAACTAGCTGGGCATGGTGGTGCGCACCTGTAATCCCAGCTACTCAGGAGGCTGAGGCTGGAGAATCGCTTGAACCCAGGAGGCAGATGTTGCAGTGAGCCAAGATCGCACCACTGCACTCCAGCCTGGGTGACAGAGTGAAACTGTGTCTCAAAAAGAAAAGAAAAAGAAAAAAGAAAAAGAAAACCTCAAAAAAAAAATTCCAATTAAAACAGATAACCTTTTTTAAACCTAACAACTAGTCTTTTACTTATGCCATTCAGTTTAGAGAGAGTGTGGAAAACTTCTGATAGGAATATATTTCAGGATAACCTTTCTGAGAACATTTTAAAAGTAGGATTCAAGAGCACACACAGATGATGGAATCCTGTGTAGTTGATATGATTTAATCTATGTTGATTGATTTGGAAAGACATATATGGCAAATTGTGGAGTAAAAAAAGTACTCACTAGATACTGGCCTATATGGAATGGTCCCATTTATGTAAAATTGTGTATGTGCATGCACAGATCTGTCTTCTATCAGGGTATCTGGAAAATGTTCAACAAAATAGTAACAATGGTTATCTGTTTTGTTTTGTTTTTTCAGAGACAGGGTCTTGCTGTATTGCCCAGGCTGGAGTACAGTGGTGCAATCATAGCTCACTGTAGCCTCTAACTCCTGGGCTCATGCCACACAATCCTCCCGCCTCAGCCTCCTGAGTAGCTGGGACTACAGGCATGTACCACCTTGCTTGGCTCTCGTTATCTGTTGATACTGGAATTTCTGCTTTTTTCCTGGTACAGATACATACGTACAAGTACTTTGACCCCAAAATTCTATTTTCTTAGAATAAATTCCCAGAAGGAATGAAAGATGTGTGCAAAGACTATCAATGAGAATGTTGGCCAGACGTGGTAGTCTACACCTGTAATCGCAGCACTTTGGGAGGCTGAGGCAAAGGGGATCACTTGAGGCCAGGAGTTTAGACCAGCCTGGGCAACATGGCAAAAACATGTCTCTACAAAAAATACAAAAAGTATCCAGGTATGGAGGCATATGCCTGTAGTCCCAGCTACTCATAGGAAGCTGAGGCAGGAGGATCACTTGAGCCCAGGGAGGTTGAGGCTGCAGTGAGCCATGATCACACCACTGCACTCCAACCTGGTTAACAGAGTGTCTCTAAAAATAAAATAAAATAAGATGTAGATACATGCAGGAGGCTGAGGTGATGGATCACTTGAGCCCAGGAGTTTGAGTCCAGCCTGGGCAACATTGAAAGACTATATATTTTAAAGTAGACACATGTATAAAATCACACATGCATAAAACAACTGAAGGAATATCTATTAAAATGTTGGCAGCAATTAGCTTTGGTTGGTAGAATAACAGAAGGGTTACTTTTCTCACTTCGTTCATCCATATTTTCCAAAGTTTAAAAAAAAAAGAAACGGCCTGGTGCAGTGGCTCATGCCTATAGTCCTAGCACTTTGGGAGGCCAAGGCAAGAGGGTCGATTGAGTCCAGGAGCTCAAGACCAGCCTGGGCAACGTAGGGAGACCCTGTCTCTACAAAAAATAAAAAATCAGTTGTTGTGGTCTGCACTTACAGTTCCAGCTACCAGGGAGGCTGAGGTGGAAGGATTGCTTGCGCCCAGGAGGTAGAGGCTACAGTGAGCCATAATTGTGCCACTGTACTCCAGCCTGGGTGACAGAGCAAGACTGTCTCTCAAAAAAGGCAAAGCAAAACAAAACAAAAAACAAGGAACATGCATTTTTGTTTAAAGGAAAACGTTCTTTTTTTTAAGTTTATAATTTTTTTTTTTTTTTAAACAGAGTCTCACTCTGTCGCCCAGGCTAGAGTGCACTGGCGTGATCTCAGGTCACTGCAAGCTCCACCTCCCAGGTTCAAGCAATTCTCCTGCCTCAGCCTCCCAAGTAGCTGGGATTACAGGTGTGCACCACCACGCCTGGCTAACTTTTGTATTTTTAGTAGAGATGAGGTTTCACCATGTTGGCCAGGCTGGTCTCGAACTCCTGACCTCAAGTGATCTGCCCGCCTCAGCCTCCCAGAGTGCTGGGATTATAGGCGTGAGCCACTGTGCCTGGCCTTAAGTTTATAATTTCTTAACATGGTGTTTAATTAAGCCTATTCACAAATATTCTTAAATAACATACCAAAAGAATTTACTTATACTCTAATAGGAAAGATTCTACATTAGGATGCAGAATCTTAAGGAAACAATCTTCAATTTCTTGACTTAGACATTCTTGGTAACAGACCCACACAGTAATTAGGTAGCACTTATGTATTATGATATTACCTGGGGTGTTTATAAGCTCATCCTTTAATAAGCTAGACTAAGTGCAGTAAATCAGCTCACTCTGCAACCAACCAGTCCCACCTCCTAACTGCTCCTGAACTGCAAAGACCAAAAGCCTCAGAGAAGACATATTTCCCAAACTTTCTTGCAGCTAAAGCTCTCAGTGTGAATCATGTTCCATCAATGAAACACACACATGTGCAATATGGAAGATGAGTGAAATCCAGGCTATCTTCCTGAAGCTACTGTTCCTGGCAAGTGTAGCTGTGGGGACTGAGTTTTGGGCAGCAGCAACTAACTCCCAGCTTCCATGTGCTTGAGAGTCAGTTGCCAGGATGGCAGCAGCTGCATCCTCAGTCTAAGATGGCAGCCAATGGTGATGTTTTCATGAATCCACCGTTCACGTGGCAGCCTCCTGGAGCTCAGACTGATGCCTGCTCCTCCAGCCTTCCAATACCTTTGCAAACACCTGAATTCCACATTAATCTCTCTCTGTTTAGAATTCCCAGAGTGGCTTCGGTTTCCTGGGCTGAACCCTGCCTGGTAACTCCATTTTAACAGGCTTCTAGATCTTTCCTCAAAAACTGTAAAGCTGATGATGGTTTTGAAAAAAATCACGATTTCTTAACAACGTGGAAGCAGAGAGGTCACCTTTAGCAAATGTATGCCTTAAGTGGGTAGAATTCACTTCATAATAACAAATCAGGTTCAAGACCTCCAAAGACATAATGACAATTAATTGGCAAACCTCATCCCCTCTCACACATTTCTACCCTGTTGACATTAAATGAAGGGCCAGAATTAAGCTACTGATAAAGACGAACACTTTATTCTAATTGTTCTATGATTCATGACCTGTGTTCCAACACCTAGAAACCCATCAGGATACAAATATATCACTTAAAATAAGACACATAGGGATGGTTAGTTTTTCTGTCTCATTCTATATTGTTCTGAGAAATTACAGATATTTTCTTCTAAGAAAGGCATGATCAACTATTCAAGTTTTGCTGAATCTAAGGTAATGTCAGAATACTCTTAAACACCTTACGGCCTCAGATCCCAGTAGTTTAGAATTCTAGGGATGATGTAAATTTATAATCACTGTGAAAATGTTATCCTATCAAAACTCTGTAGAAACATCTATGCTTTTGCAATAACAGCGTAAAAGACCTCTTCTGATGAGAGAGACAGAGAGAGAGAGAGAGAGGGAGAGAGAAAGAAAAAAGAAAGAAAGATAAATTAGGGAGTTGGGGTAACCAGGTAATTTAGGCCAATGGATTCAACTGTGCCTTAAGCTGGTACTACCCTCATTTATGTGAGTCAATCAAGTCCCCCTTTTTTGCTCAAGCTACTCTGAGTTGGGTTTTTATCACTTGCAACCAAGAGTCACGACTAACAAACCCATCCTACTGTTACCTCTTTTGCCTTGGCTCTGTATTCCACACAGATTTAATCCTGGCGCTGATATAATTTTGTTTAAATATTTCTTCACCAGCTTGCCTGTGAACTTACAGAAGGCAGACATTTGTGTCTTTGCATTCCCAGTACCTAGCACATGGTAGACATTCAGCGAACGTCTGCAGGGTGGATCATGCACCCAATGTTGTCAACTCATTTGATGATCAGCCCCCTTTCCCCCAACCAAAAAAAAAAGATGTAAAATGAAACAGCACAGATCTTACTAGTGGGGAGAAAGGTGAATGCCTCTAACGCTTTTAGAAAAAGGATACCTTTGGGGAAACTAAGTGACTAACAAATAAAAATGGTTCTCTAAAAATAGGAGAGCTGTCCCTGCAAGCTGAACTATCAGAAGATGAAGAATGAGGTCTCCCTGAAATGCCCACCATAAGACTGCCAGATATGGGACTGCTGGATGACACTCTGGCTACCCCACTGAGTTTTATGAAAACATAACAGAATAAAGACACTTACTTGTCAACTCAGGTAAAGAATACACACAGAAGGTGTCTTAGTCCGTTCTGGGTGCTATAACAAAATAACAGACTGGGCAATTTATAAGTAACAGAAACTTATTTTTTACAGTTTGAAGGCTGGGATGATCAAGGTGCCAGAAAATTGAGAATCTAGTGAGGGCTTGCTCTCTGCTTCAAAGATGACACCTTCTGGCTGTATCCTGTGGCAGAAGGGGACAAAGAAGCTCCCTCGGGCCACTTCCGTAAGGGCACTGATCCCATTCACAAGGGCAAAGCCCTCATGACCTAATCACCTCCCAGATGCCCCACTTCTGAATGCCATCAGAGATGAGGTTTCAACGTAAGAATTTTGGGAGGACACATTCAGACCATAGCAGGAGCAATGGGCTGATCCTGATCCCACTTAAATAGCTCATAACTTCTGTAGATAGCTCAGATTCCTCAGGATTGGAGGAAACAGTTCCCAACCTAAATAAGGGCTCCTGGAAATATGTGTTAATGAATGAAATACATACCAACAACTGTGAAGAGATGTTGGTGTGATCTGTTGACTCACCTGAAATGGTTTAAAGATTTCTTCCCAATAGGATGTGAAGAGCCATCTGTTCCTGGGGATTATGTTCTGGTTGATGTAGGGATTAGGTCTCCACTTGAGGACAAAGTGGGGAAGGGCACACTTAAGCGAACAGCTCTCTTGGTTGGCCTATATTGACTGGGCAGATTTTATATCAGAATTCCAAATATCCGCCTAGTGTGGTTATAGTTGAGAGAGCACAGATTAGAAGGTGTCAACTACAGGCTCAAGTTTCATCACCCATTCAACGAATCATTGAAGGGAGCCAATGATTTTGTTTGAATTCCAGTCTCTCTAGATACAAAATGGAGTCAATTCTTTCTGTACCCACCTTATTAGTTGCTAGACAAAACTTTGGCAATCATTTGCTCTAATTCCCTTATCTCCCCCACAAAGAAACTCATCAGTTAAAGCCTTGTTCTTACCTTTCTTGGTCACAGAACCCTCTGAGGATTTGTTGAAAGCTATGGATCCTTCTCCACAGAAACATGCAGTTGTGTGTGTGTGCTCCCACAAAGTCATTTTGGCATATTATTTTTGAAAGAATCACAAAACTCTTGTGGTTCATTCTTAGGGAAGCCAAGTTAAAAAACAACCACCACCTCTGAACCAAAGGAATTTTTAAAAACATACACAGAGTAAAAGAAGCTTGTTCATGTCATCATGAATTTATTTTCAGGCAATATGATAATCTATTAACACTCAGCATACTCTGAACTTACAGAATAAGTACCACGCCATACTTCCTCATTAATGACTATCATTTTACATGAGCTTCTTCCACAATCACAATGAGAGAACAGATTGCTACATGTTTGCTGGTAAATGCATTCAGTAAGGCACTCAAATCCTAGACACGAACTAAGCACAGAACGCTCTTCCCTGCTTTAATAAATTGAAACATGATCTCATTTCCTTCATTTTCAATACTTTTTATAGAAAGACACGCTTGTCTTGAACTTGTCTAAACATAGGTTTATATAAACTAATCCATTATCATTATAGTTATAATCAAGGAAATGATTTCACATTGACGGTTTTTTAGGTAGGGATAAGCGAAAGCACTGCAGCAGTTTCTGAGGGAATGTCTTCTCTGTGGTTCCCCATACTTAGTACAATGCCTGGAATGTAGCAGGGACTAAATACAGTGAACAAATGGGCAAACCTTTAATTCCCAGGGATCTGCTACATATTGCCTTGACTGGTAGATCATTTCTCCAGGAGAAAGTAAGAAACCAAAAGACAAAAACAATCTTTTTAAACCTCACAGGATTTTCTTAGAAAAAAGTTTTAATTTATATATCTAGTGCAATTCTCTTTGTAAAATATATTTCATAAAAAATCCAAAGCAAAAGCCCTGTCATTCATTTATTTCAAAAGACAAATCATTTCAGTACTTCTTCCTTGAAATGCCTGCAATTTCTTCCTCTGGCCTCAGAGACGGGCATTGGCTCCATGCTTTACAATGTCAGGATAAAAATCCAGGAGGGAGAAATCTTGTTGTAATGGATAGCTGTTTTCATCTAACACAAAAAGGCTCTGAATCTTTAATACACAAGGTTCTGCGCTGACTGCCAACAAGGAGTGGAACAGGTCTGCCACGACCATCCCATAGGTGATCTCTGAGGAAGGAACTGCAAAAGACAAAAACACAGAGCTCCCAAGATCGCTGCTAGCTTGACAGGAGCACACACATTGAATGGTTTCATTGTTTCTTTTGGTTCCTCAAGTCTCAAACCCATTTTAAATTTCTCCTCCCGTCCAGTAGCGGTGGCTCACACCTGTAATCCCAGCACTCTGGGAGACGGAGGCAGCCGGATTACTTGAGGTCAGGAGTGCGAGACATGCCTGGCCAACACAGTAAAACCCTGTCTCTACTAAAAATACAAAAATTAGCCGGGAGTGGTGGCACATGCCTGTAATCCCAGCTACTCGGGAAGCTGAGGCAGGAGATTTGCTTGAACCCAGGAGGTAGAGATTGCAATGAGCTGAGATTGTGCCACTGCACTCCAGCCTGGGCAACAGAGCAAGACTCTGTCTCTAAATAAATAAACAGGTAAGTAAACTACTCTTTCTATACCTTCTCTTTCTAGTTACAAGCTATTGAGGCACTCCAGAGTGACGGCATGTGATCCCCCTGACACAAGAAACAGGCCCAGATAACACACCGTTCAGACCGACAGCAGTTCTGGTTATGCTGCAGTACATCAGAAAAGTGCTCTTATCCATCCACAGTTCTTATCACAGTTACTTATGCATATATTCATTTTTTATATAAAAGAATCTTGAATCGGTCACTTAAATATTGAATCTCAATAATAAAAAATACTAAAAGTATAGCTAAATGTGTTATTTTATTTTGCATTTGTCCTACACTCTTCCCCTCACTTTTTTAGGACATGTAATCAAGACATTTGGCAGGTTGTTCAATACCAGAATGACAGAGCACCATCAACCATGCTCAGACCGTACTAACCCCTTGACAATTATCACAGTCTTTCTTGGATGGGGACTACAGAGTCCTGGAGGACCAATGACATATTTTGGGGGGTATGATAATTCTCTACAATAACTTTTAAATTTTGTATTTTCACTGCAATAAACTAAAACATAACCAATATTAGTAATAGTCTGCATGGTCTGATGACCACTTTATAACCAATGACATTTTGACTTATGATCACAATCTAATTAATGCCAAGTAGTACAACTTTAATTGTCTCAAGAATGGACAAAACACTGAAGTATATGTGATATGAGAATGATGCTTCTCTAAGAGATAAAGACTAATTTACATTATGCAAAAAAGAAGAGATAGGCCGGACACGGTGGCTCACGCCTGTAATCCCAGCACTTTGGGAGACCAAGGCAGGCAGATCACCTGAGGTTGGGAGTTCAAGACCAGCCTAACTAACATAGAGAAACCCCATATCTACTAAAAATACAAAATTAGCCGGGCATGGTGGCGCATGCCTGTAATCCCAGCTACTTGCGAAACTGAGGCAGGAGACTTGCTTGAATCCAGGAGGCAGAGGTTATGGTGAACTGAGATCGCACCACAGCACTCCAGTCTAGGCAACAAGAGCAAAACTCCATCTCAAAAAAAAAAAAAAAAGAAGAGATTACACTGAAAATATATAAGTAACATTAAGAAAAGGAATGAAAATAGCCAAAAGAATAAAAATGAAATAAAGAAAATGGGGGAAAAAAACGGAGAGAGGCTTCTAATTAAGATGTAGAAAGCTGGAAAAAGTGGCTCCTACCCTAACAGTTACTGGAAAAAATTGAATAAATATCAAATCATCATTTTCTTGAATACACATGAGAACCAAGGTTGTAAAACAGCCAAAAAGACTGAAACATAAGGAGACAGGTGCCTCCAGGGAGATGGAACAGGAGCACAGTTTCCCTTGGGGCAGGCCTTGGGAAGAAGACAGGTCCTCCATACAGGCAGGAAAGAAGAATGTGATTAATTTTTATTAATAAATTAATTGCAAAAAGCCAATGAACTGCCAGTGTCAGCAACATAAGGAACATCTGCATCCTCACAGGCTCTTCCACATAGTAGTCTCACCTCCACCAGGTGCTCATAAGACTGGGGGCAGGGCAAGACATCAGAGAAAGCTTCCAACTACAAAACACAAAGCACCATCTGGCCTCCCCTTTAAGGAACAAAAGCCTTCAACTGCTGGAGGAGGGACACCAAATCCTGTTGCCCCAGGGTACAGGTGAGGAACCAGTACAGATGGGGGAAAGAAAAAAGAAAAAAAACCCCTCCATCCTGGGGGAGGACTGAAAAACCACCCTGGGTCAAGACCATTAGTGGTCCCCTACTGCTGGGGCAGGGCCAGGACCACACAAGACCCACTAAAGGCACAAGACAGAGCTCAGCTGCCATGCCACATAAGGGACAGGGCTACCAAGAAAGCGCCATATTCAACATCCTGTATAAGACTGGGGCTGGACCAGAATCAAAGAGGAACAACCCTGCTCCCGCCCACCAGGTTAGGATGCACCAAATAACAACCAACAAAAGCTTGTGCAACTTGGGGAGGTGCAAGAACGTGGAAAGAAACTTTCTCTGAGGCCCAGGTGCAGAGTGGAGGGCTATGCTGATGGTGGAGCAGGAATACTGGGGAACCACTTCCCACCATAAGCACAAGATAATTTGAAACCAGTGGTGACCTGAAGGTAACCAGAGAAACAACAAAACCTGAATCCAACTCAACTTATGACAAGACTGACCATCCTGCTCACCCCTCACCTCCAGTAAAGGACCGAGAGGCATGCCTGTTTCCAGGTACAAATACTATTTACCTCAGTTTGTACTGTTCTACTTAATATATGCAATGTTCAGCATTCAACCCAAAATTACTAGACACCCCCAACTAAAAAAATACACGAAAAACAATCTACTATTGAAAGATAAAGCAATCACGGAACCAGATTAGCTCATCAGCTTAGAGGATCTGAGGCTAATGAGAACAGGAATGGAGTTTGAATACCTGACAAATATATTATCTTTGCTTTATTCTTAGCCACTGACAACTAAGACATCACGGTTGAAGATCTTGCAAATCCATTCCACTGACAGTGGACTATCTTCATATATATTATGTCACACACTCATTGACTTCACTCTTATAAAACTAGAGTTAAGTAAAATAGTTTTTGCTTACCAACAGGAAATGTAGGTTAAGAAGAAATTAGGTGCCTCCCGCTGTTCATGTACTAACAGGTGTAAAGCAAGTCAACCTTCTAACTTACATAGGCTTATATTTCACTTAAGCTAAATTATCCTTCGGTTTTCATATGGACAGAAAAGCTCTTAATTTAAAGTACAGTGCTCTTTCTGTTCCGATATACCATTTATACTCCTGAATAAAACAACTTCTTGATGGCACACTGATATATTACCTATCACTCTGTTGAGGCAGTCTGCAGAAATGTTGAGAAGAATCTTCTCTATCAGCTTTGATTCTACACGGATACAAACATCATGTCTTCCATCAATGGCAGTCATTAACGCTGGCCTACAAAAGAGTAAACAACACACGACCTTCAAAAAGATTTTCAGATAAAAGAAATGCTTAAATGAAAAATAATTCCAAAAAGCACTTGGTTTTTATGCAGGATTAATTTGAATGCCTAAAACAACTCTAGGATGTTCTGTGACATCCTAGAAGGAAAAAAAGGTTTTTTTTTTTCCCCAAGAGCTTCAAATGATAAATTACTACATTTTATTTATTCTATATCCATTTTTAAATTTCAGATACTAATATAAAAATATATTAAACTGTTTTATAAATTATTTTTAGAAATGAAAATAAAAATAATAATCACATATTTCACAATCACAATTTCAAGTTACTTTTTTCAACTGAATTCTTTCCTATCAGAAATAAACTGTTTTGCATATCAATAAACAGGGAACTGGATTAACAATTTTCAGTGCATCCTACATCTTAATGCTATGTAGCTGATAAAAAGAATGAAGAACATTTGCAAGTGCTATTAGGGAAGGAGCACCAGGATAGACTCTAGGGAACAACAACATGAACAATATTCTTCTGTCCACATGCTTCTAAAGAAAGGGATACACATGTGCTGGGATGAACATAATAAATCACTGGAAGGACATACAAAAAACCTTCTCACCAGCAATGGAAGCAGCACTGGTGAGAGAGGGTTGGATGGTGAAGGAGACTTTCACTCTTTGTTTTGTAACCTCCTATGTAGTGTGCATTTTAATCATGGCATGTGGTACCTATTTTATAACTACATTGATTTTTAAAAAATAAATTGAGAACAGAATTCAGAAACAGGCTCATTAGCGGGGGAATTTAATGTGACAGAGCTAAAACATAACTACTGATTTTCCCCCTAAAAACCCACTTCCCCCTTTATTCACACGATGACTCTATGTTCCTTCCTCTTTTCACTCTACACTCTTTCCTCAGCCTCTCTCTCCCTCCATTATTTATTTCAACAAATATAAACTGAGTATCTATCATGGACTGTGGTAAGTGCTGGGTACCCACTAGTGAAAAAGACAAATCTGGTTCCGTCACTCAAGGAACGTAAAACTGTAGAGGGATAGGAAGAAATTGGGCATGCGCGGTGGCTCATGCCTGTAATCCCAGCGCTTTGGGATGCCAAGGTGAGGAGGACTGCTTGAGGCCAGGAGTTTGAGACCAGCCTGGGCAACACAATGAGACCTCATCTCTACAAAAAGAAGAAGAAAGAAAATAAGCTTTTCAACAGTGGTGCCAAGATGACTAAACAGGGATGGAACAGTCTTTTCAAAAATTCACGCTGGGACAACTAGATATCCACATGCCAAAAAATAAAATTACACCCCTTCCTTATCCCACATACAAAACTTAACTCAAAGTAGATAATAAACCTAAATGTAGGAGGTAAAACTACTAAACTCTTAGAAGAAAATACGGGAGCAAATCTCCATAACCTTGGCTTAGAAATGACACCTTTCTTAGATACGACCCGAAAGCACATGCAACAAAAAGAAATACAGAATAAGAAGTACTGGCAAGAATATGGGGAAATTACAACCCTCATATTGCTGATGAGAATGTAAAATTGTGCAGCAATTTTGGAAAACAGCCTGGTAGTCCTCAAAAGGTTAAACAGACAGTTACCATATGACCCAGCAATTCCACCACTCCTAAATATATACCCAAGAGAAATGAACACACATATCCACACAAAAACTTGTACACAAATGTTCACAGCAGCATCATTCATAATAGCCAAAGAGTAGAAACAACCCAATTGTCCATCAACTGATGAATGGATAAATAAAATGTGGTATATGCATACAATACAATATTATTTTGCAATAAAAAGGAAGTAGTGATACATGCTACAACATGGATGGACCTTGAAAACATCATGCTAAGTGAAGCCAGTCACAAAAGATCACATATTATATAATATTTATATAAAATATCTAGAACAGGCAAATCTATAGAGACCGAAAGCAGATTCGTAGTTGCCATAGGTTGAGGGGCATGGGGAATGGAGAGTGACTGCTAATGAGTATGAGGCTTTGTAAAGGGCTGGGTGACGAAAATGTCCTAACTGGTTGTGGTGATAGCTACACAGCCCTGGGAATATACTACAGCCATTGAATTGTACATTTCAGAAGATTAATTTGATGGTATATGAATTTTAACTTCAGTAAAAATGTTTTCTAGAAAAGACAGTATGCAACTACAAATTACAGTAAGCACACCCAGGCTACTATAACAGAAAATAAAGAAGAGTGGTTAGGAAAGGCCTCTCTGATAAAGCAGCATTTAATCTAAGACATGAAGAAACCAGCCTTGTGGAGTCAGACAGAAGGAAGACATTCGAGAACATCCTAAGGAGAAAAATCAAAATGAAGAACTGAAAGAAGGCCACGTGGCTAGAGTGCTGGACGACAGGGGAGTGGCAGCAGATGAGACTGCAGAGGAAACAAGCATAAGGAGACGACTGATGGGTGAAGCAAAGGCAAAGGGTAATCACACTGCCAATGGGTAGAGAATAAAGGGGAGGAGGCAAGGCCAGGAGGAGCCCCACCAAGAGACTGCTGGTGTGCTGGTTTGCGCAACAGGTCGTAGGGACTCAGATGAGGCCTGAGTGATTCCAGACCAGCAGGCACTGACTTTCCATTTTGGTTTCACAGTAATTGAGGTTCAGCTAGGGGAAGGTAAACAGGGATGCCACATGCCCCGCAGCATGTGGGATATGGTACATAATGAGAAACTGTCCTGAGAAAAATGTCAACAATGCCCCTGCTGAGATACACTGGACTAAGATGTTAGCAGTGGAGATGGAAAAAAGTGGATGAATTTGTGATATAGTTCTGAATGAAAATTCCTAGGACTTGCTAATAGATTAGATAGGGGAGGTAGGGAAGAGAAAATGATGCGACGATTGTGCCCAGGTTTCCAGCCTAAATAATTGGGTAGATGGTGTGCCATTTTCCAGAAAGTATAAAAATGAAGAGAACTAGATTTGAGTGTGGTTAGGAAAAACAAGAGTCTATTGTGGGTATGTTTAAATGTGAGATGGACGTCAAGCAAAGAATTTGATACCTGACTACTGGAGCCTGGAGGAGAAAATCAGGGTGAAGATGTTAAGTACAAATACGAAAACAGCTGTGATCATCCAGGCAGAATGTACAGAAAGAATAAGAGGAAGGACGCAGACGAGAGCTCAAGATTAACCCCAGCATTTAAAGAGGGGGTAGAAGAGGCTGAGAAAGAAGGGCCTGAGAGACAGGTTAGAAAGCAAGGAGGAGGCTGTTTCAAGAAGGAGGAAGTGGACTGACATGCTGAATATAACTGAGAGCAGTTAGAGTGAGGAAAGAAGTATCCATGCCTCAGGCAACATCAAAAGTGTAACTTTGACAAAAGCAGCTTCTGCAGCATGGTAGGAGTAGAATGGAATAACTGAAGTGAAACTGAAGACATAATAGGGGAGAGAGAGTATATTTAAAACTCTTTAACAAAGTTTGGCTGGGTATAAAACAGAATAGAAAAACGAAGGGACAAGAGGGAGATGTAATGTTAATGGATGATTTTGTTTGTTTTTTAATAAAAGAAATATGGGAGTGTCTTTATAGGCTAGTGAGAATAATCCATTATGAGAGGTAATCACTGAAGATTAAGAAGGAAAAACAAAACAGGGTGCAGAAACCAAGCAAAAGTTCAATTACCACAAATAACCTTATAAGCCTAGCCCAGACTTCTCTTGCAAATTGCATTTCTTTACATCTAACCACTTTCCAACTTGTTACCTCTCAGGAACTCAAGCTCAATATGATCAACATTTCTCCCAAGGTTACTTGTTTTAATAAATAATCTTATTGTTCACCCAACTGTCAATGATTTGCAATGTACCTGTGCTCTCTCTTTACCTACCAATCACTACATCTTGCAAACTATTTTCCGACCATTCTCAAATCTGTCCACTTCTTTTTATTCCTACCACTTCCTCTCTAGTCAAGCCACCATCATCTCCCCTCCAAAATAAGGCAACAGCCTCTTACCGCTTCTCTGCACTAGCTTCATTCTAATCCACTCTCCAACGCACAGCTAACTCACTTCTGATGAACAGAATTTGGTAGAAGTGATGCCACATGACTTCTGAGTCTAGGTCACAAAAAGGCTGGCTTCCACCTGGAACTCTCTTTCTTGCCTTTCCTGCTCTGAGGAAATGAGCTGCCACTTTGTGAGAACATTCAGGCAGCCCGTGGAGACACCCAAGTGAAGAGGAACTCAACTTGCCAGCCATACGAATGAGCCACTTTGGAAATGAATCCTCCAGCCCCAGTCAAGCCTTCAGATGACTGCAGCCCCAGCCTACACCTTGACTATAACCTCTTGAGAGACCCAAACATTTCCTAGTGCTGCCTAAATAGGAGCCTTAATTGTGGTTTGACCTGCTGGGGTTTTTTGCTTCTAGTACAGAAAAATAAATGTATTTCTTGTATTCCAAAAATGTAAATCTGAATATTCTGTAGAAACATTGTTAAAAATGGTATTTGAGTTTTATGATAGCTTGAAGAACAGGAACTATGCTATCTACATGTTAATTTAATAAATGTCTGTGGCCTCGTATGAGACTCCAATGCAATATCTAATGTTGCTTCCATTGGAAAATCAGCTCCAAGTTACAACCAATGTAAAATATGATCAACCCACTCATAGTCTGGGACTGTTATGCCACACAAATGTTCATTAAGTGTTTCTTAAATGGACTACCAAGCTTCTTGGGCACAATAAGTCTACTTAGGTCAACTAGTATAACATCCACAGTACATATGTGATATGTGAACATACGTGGATTCCTAATAAATATTTGACTGAGTCTTAGAAAAATAATCAATGAGAGTTTTCTCTTATTCAGTTTGCTGATTGATTTATGTAGATGATTTTGGAGTCACATACTTGATAACTTGAAGGGAGTTTGTTAATTTCAATATTTTCTTTTCAAGGAAACCATATAATCTGGACTCTAATAACAATTTAAAGGCTTTTAGGCTGCACTTGGTGGCTCACACCTGTAATTCCAGCACTTTGGGAGGCTGAGACGGGTGGATCACCTGAGGTCAGGAGTTCGAGACCAGCCTGACCAACATGGAGAAACCCTGTCTCTATAAAAATACAAAATTAGCCAGGCGTGGTGGCACATGCCTGTAATCCCAGCTACTTGGGAGGCTGAGACAGAAGAATCACTTGAACCTGGGAGGCAGAGGTTGCGATGAGCTGAGATCGCACCAGTGCACTCCAGCCTGGGCAACAAGAGCGAAACTCTGTCTCAAAAAATAAAAAAAAAAGGCTTGTAAATAAATAAAAAATAATAATTCTTGCCTTAACATGACCATTCAACATTCTAGTAAGACAACAAACTAGCACTACATCTTTAATGTGGTATAGTTTAGGAAGAGATCTTAAATACCTCATACTAGTTATGCCATAATCAGGTGATACTGATCTGTGAAGTCCTTCTCTTGAACAGTCATTTTGTAAACTAAAGATTCAAAGGCCCTCCTCCCCATAAGGAATAGTATTGAGCAACATTTTTGTCCAATAAATGCTTATATTGAATAGAAACATTTGGAATGACATAAATAAGTCACCTATACATACTTTTGAGGGGCCTTAACTATTAATAAATCAATGTTGTTTGTTACATACCATGCATTTTTTGTTTTGATTTTGAGACAGGGTCTCACTCTGTTGCACAAGCTAGAGTGCAGTGGTGCAAACATAGCTCACTGTAACAATCGATCTCCTGGGCTCAAACAATCCTCCTGCCTCAGCCTCCCAAGTAGCTGGGACTACAGGCCTATGTCACCTGCCCAGCTTTTTTTTTTTTTTTTTTTTTGGTAGAGATGGGGTTTCCCTATGTTTCCCAGGCTGGTCTTGAACCCCTGGGCTCAAGCGATCCCCCCACCCCGGCCTCCCAAAGTGCTGGGATTACATGCGTGAGCCACCACACCCAGCCTACCATACATCTTAATTCAATCTTCTTTTCCACAAAAGCAACTTTCACAGTAATAGCAAAATTTATTCACTTATTTATAACAAACATAATATCTGTAAAGAGAAATAAGGTTTACAAATTAAGCTTCTATAACTTTTCTTGAAGTATGCCATGATAACATGTGGAATATATCTGAATTTGGTTTTTAGATACCGCAATATTTAGAAATAATCATAAGGAGCATAAAACACTGAGTGCTATTTTGTAAACACATGTAATTTATGAGGTAAAGAGAAAAATATCTGAGCTTTTGACTACCTATTATTCAAAAAACAATGTGTTTTTCACTGAGCTGATTAGCAGTTTTACCATACAACATTTATTTGCTAGCTTTAATTTCTAAGGTAAAGGTGGGAAAACACCTTAAATGTCTTACTAGCTTCCACAACAACTCAGAGGTGAGATCATATGATACTTTTAGCCCTTAAATTCTATGTTAAGGTGGGAAAATGAGTTATTTATGAGCATTTAGATTTTGGTTAAAAAGTAAACCAAGGAAAATGTTTCTTTGGTACAGCTGTTTGAAGACAATAAAATCTCCCAATTACTGCTTTAAGAAATTCCTATCTTTAAGAAATTCCTATAACGATTCCTGGGTAATTTTTGCTTCCATAAATAGCTATCTATCACTCGGAAAATTTTATTCTCTTCGACTAGCTCTAGTTAATTATTTTTAGAAAGTAAGGGTTTACAGACTAATTTTTCCAGATCTATAATAATTATTTTCCATCAAATTGGCTTGCTTAGTTGCCTTACCTATAATATATTTTCTTCATAGTAAATGGCAAGCAGCTAAAACATTGTTTGTAGATCCTGTTCTCATCTGTTTCTAGTTCCAATCCACATTTTGCACAACCAGTATATACGATGTTGGGAAGAGAAGAAAAAATACTCTTCAGAGAACTGTGAGCATTTAGCGCTATCTTCTGAGATGCTGTAATAGGAAATGCCAGCTCTGAAATCTGGGCTTTAATCAGAACCACTCCTACAAACAACAAACAGATATATTATAAATTATTGGGCCAAAATTATAACTTTAATTTACAAACATGGCTAATTTTATAGTTGATTTACAGTCACTTGTAGTAAAAGGATACACTGAGGTCTTGTTCTTCGTCTTCTTTACTATTTTCCTAGAATCTAAGGGCAGGGATGTCTGGCTGCAACTGAGAGCAGGTTTACTTGGCTAATTTGGCTGAACATGTGATGTTTCCTTCCTTCCCCATCCTCTGGAATCAGGCAAAATAAGTTCAATACCTCCTTTAGAAGAAATCCCTTCGAATACTTGAAACTAGCTAACATGTCCTCTCTCCTTGCCCTGTCTTCTCTTAAACTGATCATAGTGAAAAGCCAAATAGGGGCCGGGCGCAGTGGCTCACGCCTGTAATCCCAGCACTTTGGGAGGCCGACGCGGGCAGATCACGAGGTCAGGAGATCGAGACCATCCTGGCTAACATGGTGAAACCCTGTCTCTACTAAAAATACAAAAAATTAGCCAGGCGCGGTGGCTGGCGCCTGTAGTCCTAGCTACTCGGGAGGCTGAGGCAGGAGAATGGCTTGAACCCGGGAGGCAGAGCTTATAGTGAGCCGAGATCGCACCACTGCACTCCGGCCTGGGCGAAAGAGCAAGACTCCGTCTCAAAAAAAAAAAAAAGCCAAATAGGAGGTGAACTTTTCTTCTTCTCTCTACCTAAAAATATCAATAGCCTGTTCTCTTTTAAACTTTTTTCCAACTTTCCGCTCACCATTATCATCTATATACTCTGGGTGTGGGTTATAAAAAGTTCTCATTTATTAATCGTTTCTCAGGTGACTCACAAGAAACCTCAAGCATATTCATAATTCACTGCTAATGGCTCATCCATTCACCAGTAAACAAATACTGAATATCTACTATCTCCCAGACATTATTTTTTCCTAATTTACTTTCGTCTTACTGTGTACTGGTGAGGTCTATGAGTTTTCCTGAGCATTATTCTCCCTTTCTCCATAGTCAATTTAAAGGCTTCTTTAAGCCTTAAGCCTTCAAATTTGTTCTTCTTCATCCACTTAGAAGTAAGAACACTCCAGGTCAAGAACTAATCACTCTAGTCTCCTACTGTTTTCTGGTTATCTCTTTCAGAGTCCAGTTAATGATGAGTCTTCTGTTCTTAACTTCATTTGCTTTAGTCTTTCAATGCCCAAAGATGGTTTCATCATCTCTTCCAATTGTGTCACATATCCCTACATGAGTTAGCAGGAGTGTGTAGCGATCGAATATGTAACAAACTGTAGAAGATTCAATACCACATCTTTCCAAAGACATGTCAAATCACTACAAAATTATTATTATTTTTTTTTGTTTTGAGACAGTCTCACTCTGTCGTCCAGGCTAGAGTGCAGTGGTGCAATCTTGACTCACTGCAGTCTCAACCTCCCTGGGCACAAGTGATCCTCCCACCTCAGCTTCCTGAGTAGCTGGGACTACAGGCACACACCACCACACCTGGCTAATTTTTGTATTTTTTTGTGGAGATGGGGATTTGCCATGTTGACCAGGCTGGTCTCCAACTCCTGGGCTCAAGTGATCCACTCTTCTTGGCCTCCCAGAATGCTGGGATTACAGGCTTGAGCCAATGTGTCTGGCCTAAAAAATTATGTAAAAAAAAAAATTTCGATTTTTATTTCAGATTCAGAGGGTAGATGTGCAGGTTTGTTACATGGGCATATCATCACCCAAGTAGAGTCTCCTGTAGTAGGCAGAGTACCCAACAGTTAGTTTTTAAACCCTTGCTCTCCTCCCTCCACTCAAAAAGTCTTTTTTTTTTTTTTTTTTTTTTTTTTTGAGACAGAGTATTGCTCTGTTACCCAGTCTGCAGTGCAGTGGTGCAATCTCGGCTCACTGCAACCTCTGCCTCCTGCGTTCAAGCAATTTTCCTGCCTCAGCCTCCCAAGTAGCTGGGACTACAGGCACCCGACATCATGCCTGGCTGATTTTTGTATTTTTAGTAGAGGCAGGGTTTCACCACGTTGGCCAGGCTGGTCTCAAACTCCTGACCTCAAATGATCCACCCACCTCGGCCTCCCAAAGTGCTGGAATTATAGGCATGAGCCACCCTGCCCAGCCTAAAAAATTCTTAATAATTCAATAATTTTAAAAGAATGTTCACATAATCCTATCATTTTGTAAATTTACACAACTCTTGAAAAGAATTAAAAGGTCATGCTGAATGTGGACTTTGCTTTCAAGGGGGTCACTCCGGCTGAGCACTGAAATTCTGCTGGCGGTAAGATGAGGTACTGGGTAAGCGTCTTCATTTCTTTACAAGGACTCAGGCCTAGCCTCATCCCCCTCTGGCTTTTGTTGAGCAAGCAGACCCTTCTAGGAAATGCTCCCATGCTGATCTCTCTTTCTCCTTTTGTTTAACTATAAAATAGGTTAGGGAAAAGTTCCTTGTGTTTTCATATTCTCTCCCCATTTTTGTCTTAAAAACACATACACTATGACAGAAACTATGAATTCAGCCCTCATAGCTGAACATAAAGAGAATGAAAGAGGCTAAACAGGCCTCTGTGAACAAAGCCTCTGAAGGACTGATTTTAATGGCACAGTTTTGGCATGGCTTGCTAATGAGGAGCACACCTCCAGGACTTCCAAGAACATGCACAATTCCTGGCTGCGTCCTCAAACAAGTGGGGCTATAGCCTCAGAATCTTTCATCATCAGCATGGTGGCCTCCTATTTTGTTGTTGTCCATGATGTTATTTATTTTTATTTTTAAACCTAATTCTAGACTTCAATCCCAGCAGATAACTGTTTTGTGTAAGCAGTAAATAACAGAGTTGACTTCTCCATGGCACCAAACTAAACGTCTCTGCAAAGTAATGTAGCCCCTCAACTGTGTCTGGCATTCCTTCCTGTGGTGACCACCTCTATATGTCTGTGAAGTTGGAGAAGCAGAGCACGGGAGGGGCACATAAATATAAAACTGGCTTAGGAACTTACATGATGCTATAACATTACCAAGATTTTACCAGTTAGTATAAATCTAGAGTCTTTTATGACCATAGGCAACTTCCATTTTTGAAAATAGTATGAAATTTTTATAGTATAAAAGCTTATAAATTTTCTATCATCTGTGTTTACCTTCCAGAAATATTATTAATTTAAACTATCTGCTGGTATTAGTAAATGTTTCAGTGTAGAACTAGGAATAAGGAGCTCTTCTTTGAGAATGAAATCTCTGTATTCAATTAAAAGTTGGGTTTTTTGAGAGGTATTGTCTTTGTTTTCTGCCTGTATTCTCCTTAGCATAGTTTTATGATATAACAATGCTAACCTTCAATCATATATTGGAAAACATATTTATACATATATGTGAATTAACCCAACTAGTAACATTTTAATCTGGCATTTGGCCAAGATAAAGTAAGGAACTGAATTTCTGCTCCCACTTGTCATATAATAAAAAATAGGTATTTGCTCTTTGTCCCTGGTTCCTGGCACATAGTTCCTAAAACTACTGGAATCTAGTTCAGATATTTGCAAAGATTTATATTTCACTTTTATATAGAATTATACATTTTTACCACAAGTGGTAGCCTTTTTGCTTATATTAAAACTAGCAGTGGGCTGGGTGTGGTGGCTCATGCCTGTAATTCCAGCACTTTGGGAGTCCAAGGCAAGAGGATCACTTGAGTCCAGGAGTTTGAGACCAGACTGGGCAACATAGGGAGACTCTGTCTCTGCCAAAATAATAAATAAATAAATAGCTGGGTGTGGTGGCATGCACTGATGGTATGCACTAGCCTTCCCTTCCCTCCTGAGCTACGCGAAAGGCTGAACGGGGAGAATCACTTAAACCTGGGAGGTGGAGACTGCAGTGAGCTGTGTTCACACCACTGTATTCCAGCCTGAGCAACAGAGCAAGACCCTGTTTCAAAAGAAATAAAAATAGCAGAATTTATGTATATAAAGATCTTACCTGAACACTTATCCTCTAGGTGGGTTGCTAAGTCTGATATCTTCACAAAGGAGGGTGCACTTTTTTGAAATTTTGCTTTAAATGTAATTGCCCTTATATCATCATCAAACAAGCACTCACAGGATGACCAAGGCGTTGTATGCAATTCTAGGTTTTCTAGTGTGTAATTGCACTGAACAAAAAGATATTTAAATTCCCAAATATAACCTTAAAAAAAACAGTAAAAACAAAAGTCACCAAAAAGGAAAAAAATCTAGGCTTAGTATCAGATTAAATAGATTGATCTGATTAAGTCAGTTGAATCTAATCTTTTATCACTAAAGAATTTGGGTAAACAGAGACAAAATATGAATGATGCATTAAGACAACAGAAGCATGCTAGAGATTATTATTATTATTATTATTATTTTCCAAGACAGAGTCTCACTCTGTTGCCCAGGCTGGAGAGCAGTGATGTGATCTCGGCTCACTGAAACCTCCACCTCCCAGGTTCAAGTGATTCTCCTGCCTCGGCCTCCTGAGTAGCTGGGATTACAGGTGCGTGCCACCACTCCCGGCTAATTTTTGTATTTTTAGTAGAGACAGGGTTTCACCATGTTGGTCAGGCTGGTCTTGAACTCCTGACCTCATGATCCGCCCACCTCGGCCTCCCACAGTGCTGGGATTACAGGCATAAGCCTCCGTGCCGGGCCACCAGAGATAATTTTAATAAAATATTTTCTAAAGATTCCTTGCCCTCCTGAACGGTCATCATTTATAATAACCAACTGCTTTCTGTAAAGAAAATTCTCATGTATCTATCTATAGGCAAAGTTGTGTTTTGTTTTGTTAAAGAAAGGACACTGAAATGAACCCAAGTCTAATATTTCACTCATATTTCAATAGTTATTTTAGTTAACTTTTCTAGAACAAAAAGCATTTAGACACAATTGTACTTATTTTTAACTCTCAGTAACAATTTTTTTTTTTTTTTTTTTTTGAGATGGAGTCTCGCTCTGTTGCCCAGGCTGGAGCGCAGTGGCGCAATCTCGGCTCACTGCAAGCTCCACGTCCCAGGTTCTAGCCATTCTCCTGCCTCAGCCTCCGGAGTAGCTGGGACTACAGGCGCCCGCCACCACGCCCGGCTAAATTTTTTTGCATTTTTAGTAGAGACGGGGTTTCACCGTGTTAGCCAGGATGGTCTCGATCTCCTGACCTCATGATCCGCCCGCCTCGGTTTCCCAAAGTGCTGGGATTACAGGCGGGAGCCACCACGCCGGCCACAATTCTAATACTTAAAGCCACAATAACACAGACCTTATTACTGTTATATTCTCTATTAGTAAATTCAACTTATCTGTATTATCATATTCTGTATTAGTAAATTCAACTTCAAAACTATAATAAAACAAAAGAGGGTTTCTTAGCACTAATTTTTCTGATAACATCAGCTGTCTTTTTAGTTTCTCACTTCAGGCCATAAATCTAATTTACTACACCTGCTCATCTCCTTAGTTTCTTTCACTAGAGATTTTTTTTTTTTTTTTTTGGTGGAAAATCATCAAACATCTCAGTAAATCTGTAAAGACAGAGCATCACTAGCTAGAACTAAAGCATATATTCCAAGTTACTGCTTAAAACCAATCACTAAAATAGCTTTCTTGTCTTATTACAAAATACCTGATTAGAAAAGTAAGCTAAGAGAAGCCAAGTAAATAAACATATAGCAGCCATAATCTCAACACCCTAAATAAGCAGTTAACATTTTAGCGGACAACCAGTTGTTTGGGATTTTATTTATTGGGATTGACTTAATAAGTCAAATATAGTTTTATATGTATGTATTATTCTACATTGCTTTTAAATATTACATAATATGCCATTGTCCAGATACACCAAAATCTTAAAAATTATTACAGCAAACCTCTATTTTGAGGGACTCTGGTTGTTTTTTATTTTTCACAATTATACATGATACCATGATAAACCCATTTTCAGCTACATCTTTATACATAGTTATGATAAGTTCCTATAGCTAAAATTATTGGGCTAAAAGTACCCCCAATTTGTTCATATTAATTGTCAGTTATCCTCAAGAAAGGTTCTGCCAGTTTGCATTTCCAATAGCTGATGACAGTAGCTGTTTTCCCATATCTTCTCTATCAATTTCTTAAAAGAAAAATCATCTATCATCATTACTTTGTGTGTTTTCAATTACTTGTAAGAACAATTTTTCCATATATTTATTGGCCATTTTTATTTCTTCTTTGGGGACTTGCCTACTCATATCCTTTCCCCATTTATCTCTATAGATATGTGTCTTTTGCTTACTGCATTATTTTCTGACAATGTAATTTTTTTTCTGTTTTTTTTTGGTTGCCTTTCAATTTTGTACATGGTGGTTTTTATGTATAATAGTTTTTGTTCCTGGATTTTATTTACCCTACCAACCTTTGCATTACAAATAATTTTGCCTATATTTTCTTCTACTATTCATTGTTTCATTATTTTTGTATTTGAATCTCTAATGTATCTGAAATTTATATTGGCACAAACATAAAGTATAAATTTAATTCTATTTTTTCTCACATTGTTAGCTAGATTTTCCAAACATTAACTATTCTTTTATTTTAAAAAGCATAAGGTTTTAATTTTATTTTTAATTATAAAATAAAATATATTTATTGTGAAATATTTAAACAGTAAAGACAAGGGAGGTAACAGGTGAAACAAGACTGACCATGTTTTAATAAGCTGGCTAATAGGTACCTAAGTTCATTATGCTGGCCGGGTGCGGTGGCTGGCTCATGCCTATAATCCCAGCACTTTGGGAGGCTGAGGCGGGTGAATCACCTGAGATCAGGAGTTCGAGACCAGCCTGGCCAACATGGTGAAACCTCGTCTCTACTAAAAATACAAAAATAAGCTGGGCATGACGGCACATGCCTGTAATTCCACTTACTTGGGAGGCTGAGGCAGGAGAATAACTTGAGGAGGTTGCAGTGAGCAGAGATCATGCCACTACATTCCAGCCTGGGTGACAAGAATGAAACTCTGTCTCAAAAAAAAAAAAAAAAAGTGCCTTATGCTTAGTATTCTCTCTGCTTTTATATATGCTTGAAGGCTTTTATAATAGAAGTTTTTAAAAGTAAATGCAGATGCTCACACACATATGAAATTCAAACTAAAGGTATAAAGAAAAAATTAAAGCACATATAATACTACCATACAGAAATAACCACTGCTAGCATTTTGCTATACATGCATATTTCCAGGTTTTCAAATGCACATATGTACTTATAGATACATTTTTATTAAAATGAGATACTATTATATATAAAGGGTTTTCTTGAAAATTTTTATGTATTAACTTATATAAACATAAAAATATTTATTATATGATAACATATTTTCTATACGTGAAGTTTTACAATCCAATTTTTTTTTATTTTTTATTTTTTTTAAGATGAGAACTTGAACTCCTGGGCTCAAGCAATCCACCCACCTCAGCCTCCCAAGGTACTGGGTTAACAGGAGTGAGCCACCACACCTGGCCTATAATCTACTTTTTAAACTAAATAATACATTACATATATCTTTCTAAGCTAATGAACATACACATTTTTGGTAGTGAATATCTTTATGTATTCACCCAGATCACAAATGACTCCCTTAACTGTTTTCCCATCCACTGAAATAAGCTCAAGCTCTCATATTTGTATTGTGTGACCTTGTCTTCCTGATCACAGTTTTTTGAATCAAATTTACTCTGGGCAATCAGATTCTCTTTGCTGGGAATTTGGAAATGGGGTTGGTCTCTTGAAAAGAAAAGTAAAATCAGGAAAATAGAATTACTTAAGTAATCCTTCAAAATTGGGATTTTTATCTTAAAAAGACTGATGTGAGGTATTGAAGTAGATGTTAAAACTTTAAAATGATGGTTATAAATAAGGGGGGCTGGATGAATGAATGTACAAAGAACAACAACATCTTAATTCCTGGATTCATATGTTTTCAATACTAACCTAAACACCATAGAATCACCTAGAGACAACTGTAATTTCTCTTCTATTAACCAAAAAACTATTAATTTTAAAAGAATATTCACATTAAACATGGAGCAATCTGCTTTGTTACGGCTCCACTATACCTGTGACCTACATTCTTGTGTAGCATGCACTAGACTCATGTTCTCAGCCAGGCTATGGTGGTCAATGATCATAGTTAGTCTATCACTGATACATGTTTGTCAGCTTGCTCAACCAAACAAACATCTGTCCCTGTTTGATCTTAACATAAAAGTCCAAAGTTAGACTTATCTCAAATCCTAGTCATAGCTATTAATGATTAAGAGAGACAATGTGATAGCTCCTATCTACAAATAACTATTTGGAAGGCAGAAGTTTGGAGAGACATTAACTCTTTCAGGTAAAAAATAATAATATACTGAATCAATCTCTAAATTAATTTAGCAGGGAAAAATAACTCATAAGCCACAAATGAAACTGTCTTTGTTACAACTAAAGGATCTCACAATAGCAAAGGGAAGACACTATACTATTTTAATGAAACATCAATTCCATTTAATTCAATATACCAGAAATAATTTATGCTTTAAAGAAAAATGTAATCATGGGTCATATTTTAACACTGAACATTCTAGGGATGGCTAACAGTGCATGCTTTTAAAACAACTATAATAAAAATATGAAACAGTAATTTATTGAACATTAATTGTGACTTGAAAGAGTTAAGGTAACTCCCTTGACATCTGCCTTATAACCATAGCATTTATCAGAGTACTCTGGCTGAAAAAAAATTGTAGAAGCTTCTCCAGAATTAAATGTTTAAAGAACATTATTTGAAGGAGGTAAGATCTTCACTAAAAGGGTAAAGTAGTATACCTGGGAATAAATTTAAGACTTTATTTCACCACCATTAATTAATGAAGACTTATTAGATAAATGAATTGCTACAAGAGGTACAAAATTTTAACAGAAGAAATTTGCAGAAGAATATTCAATCATGATCACTTGTATTTCAAATGCTGTCTCGTCTCTTAAGATTTTCTCCATCTTGGGCTCATAAACATTAATCATTTACCGAAATATAAATAGGTTAAATGCTTTTTGGTGTATTTACCTTTTTTCCTTTGAAGTTGAGGGTACCAGGCTGCTCCAGGACCCCATAATACAAGCGCATAATGTTGATCTTGGGCCTGTTCCACTGTTAACATAACTTTTTTCTGCTTCTGTCCTCTATAACTGTATACTGCCTCTGGAAAAGGAAAATGAGTACCTTAGTTGGCATTACTCTATCACACGTGATACCATACTTTAATAGCTGATGATACATATATAGTGATAACCAAATGGTACACTAAGATGGTCTTGTATCTTAATTTTTTCATAATCTAAAATTAAGGAGGCAGTCAAAATATTTACCTGTCAGTATAGTGAAATCAACAACTCTTAGTACTGCGTGGACTAATACATCAGGTTGAAGGTGCTCCAATTCTACAAAGTCTATACTGTTCACCCTCTGAGGCTGCCTCGGAGGAAGATCTCTGAGGTAGGAATGTTTTGAGGACACATATGCCAGTAAGTCTTGAAGTACAACTTCACTAACTACACTGGAATCTAAGGGAAAAAAAACATACAGACAGACAAAAGATGGCAACATTATATTTTTCTTCACAAATAATATTTTTTAGAACTGTATTTTATGTTGTAAAGTATGATTAGATATAAAATATAGTTTTGCTTTCTCTAAAACATGTACAATAGCTAAGTCTTGAATCAGTTTAGATGTAAAAACAAACTTGATATTTTTAATCAATGGAAATGGAATTATTTACTATCCCCAAAAAACTTGTGCTGTTCCCATACTTCTTTACTTTGTTAATAATATCATTTTCTATCAATTAACCAAACAGAAAATTTCTGTTCTTTTTTGACTCCACCACCCTGTAACAGCCAATTGGTTCCCCAGTCCCTGGAGTCTGATTTGATCCTGCTTTCCCAACTATCCTATCCTCTGCCGTTCTTCCTCAAGCCCCTTCTGAAACAGGCTCAGAGCCACCTCACTGGTTCTCTCCCTGAGTGTGCCTTACTCTTTCCACAGCGAGGCCTCCGTCCTCACCAATTTCCAGCTGCAAGGCTGTCTTGTCCTACCCAATACCACATAGAATGATTACCACTATAGATTCACAGTGCTGCTTTGTTCCCTGAGCTCAGAGAGCTTTTGAGCACGTGCTACATTGTAATATTTTTCAAGTGTTGGATTGGTTATTTAATTCTTCAGTTACTATGTCCTTTAAATGTTTTTCTCTTTCCTGTCTCATTTTTTTTCTCACTTTTTATTAAGGTATAGTTTCTGTACAATAACATGCATATATTTTAAATGTACAGGCTGATGAGTTTTGCTGATTAAATTTTAATTTCTCTGAAGGTAAGACAAGTATGCTTGAGTACGTGATTGATTGCTGACCAAAATAAGATATTGGCAATAAACACTTAAGTACTTTTTAGAAAGCAGACTCCATAAACTGATTTGTGTTTCTTCTTTCCTTCCTTTAGACAGTAAAAGAAAAGGGATGTAACAGGTGAAACAAGACTGACCATGTTTTAATAAGCTGGCTAATAGGTACTTAAGTTCATTATGCTTTGTATTCTCTACTTTTGTATATGTTTGAAGGCTTTTACAATAAAAGTTTTTAAAAGTAAATGCAGATGCTCACACACACATAAAATTCAAACTAAAGTTACAAAGAAAAAATTAAAACCACACGTAATACTACCAGACTGAGTTCTTCTTTCACAGTATTTCCAGCAAATCTGGAATCAGAAGAGTTGTATTCAAATTCTGGTTTTGTCAATAATAAGCTCTGTGAACTTGTACATAACTTCTCTGGGCTTCGTTTTTCATGAACAAGATAGAGCTTTTGGGGAACAAAAACATCTCTAACATCAAATTATATATTTGTCCCTGATTCATAAAAATTTACATGGAAACACATGGTTATTTAGATTCCAAAAAAAGTCTACCTCATGGAAACATTGTGTTGATCTTTGACTTATATATTTAATAATATTCAAGATAAATTTATATTCCTGTCACATTATCAGAACTAGGTTTGTAAAACATGTAACACCTCACTATAAAGATGAAAGAACAGAAGTCTTTTCTTTTCAACTTTTACTTTAGATTCGGGTGTACATGTGCAGGTCTGTTACCTGGGAATACTGCGTGATACTGAACTTTGGGGTACAAGTGATCCTGTCACCCAGGTACTGAGCACAGTACCCAACAGGTAGTTTTTCAACCCTCTCCCTCTAGTAGTCCCCAGTGTGTATTGTTGCCACCTCTATGTCCATGAGTAGCCAGTGTTTAGCTCCCACTTATAAGTGAGAATACATGTTATTTGGTTTCCTGTTCCTCCCTCAATTCACTTAGGATAATTGCCTCCAACTGCATCTGTGTTGCTGCAATTTATTTATTTATTTATTTATTTTTTTTGAGACAAGGTGTCACTCTATTGCCCAGGCTGGAATGCAGTGGCACAATCTCAGCTCACTGTAAACTCCACCTCCTGGGCTCAGGTGATCCTCCCACTTCAGCCTCCCAAATAGCTGGGGCCACAGGTGTGCACCACCACACCTAGCTAATTTTTTTGTATTTTTTGTAGAGACAGGGTTTTGCCACCTTGCTCAGGCTGGTCTCAAACTCCTGGACTCAAGCAATCTGCCTGCCTCAGCCTGTCAAAGTGTGGGAATTACAGGCATGAGCCACTGCACCATCCTGATTTCATTCCTTTTTATGGCTGCGTAGAATTCCATGGTGTATATGTACCACATTTTCTTTATTCAATCCTCCACTGATGGCCACCTAGGTTGATTGCATGACTTTGCTACTGTGAATAGTGCTACAATGAATATTCAAGTGCTTATGTCTTTTTGGTAGAACAATTTGTTTTCTTTTGGATATATACCTAGTAATGGGATTGCTGGGTCAAATCATAGTTCAGTTTTAACTTCTTTGAGAAAACCCCAAACTGTTTTCAACAGCGGCTGAACTAATTTACATTCGCACCAACAGTGTATGAGCATTTCCTTTTCTACACAGCCTACCAACATCTGTCGTTTTTTGACTTTTTAATAATAGTTGTTCTGGGGCTGGGAGTGGTGGCTCACACATGTAATTCCAGCACTTTGGGAGGCTAAGACAAGAGGATCACTGGAGCTCAGGAATTCAAGGCCAGCTTGGGCAACATGACAAAACCTGGTCTCTACAAAAAATACAAAAATTAGCTGGGCATGGGGGCATGCACCTGTAGTCCCAGCTACTCAGGAGGCTGAGGTAGAAGAATCTCTTGAGCCTGGGAGACTGAGGCTGCAGTGAGCCATGATCAGGCCACTGCACTCCAGCCTGGGTAACAGAGTGAGATCCTGTCTCTAAAAAATAAATTTTAAAAAAGTATTATTAGGTCCCACTTTTCAATTTTTGGTTTTGTTGCAATTGCTCGAGGGCTTCATCATAATTATTTCCCAGAAGTCCTTTCCAAAAACACAATATATTGATCAGAAATAAGAATCCTCTCATGAGTTGTAACCACTTGCAAAATCAAAACCAAATTGGTAAAATGAGTAACCAAATTGGTTTACTCTTTCAGAAGAAAAACAACTGCAATATTCTCAAAATGTCCACTGGTAGCCATTTCCCTACATCAATAAAAAACTTTAGAATATACTTTATTTAGCTACTAACCTGTAAAAAATAAAGCACCATAAATTCCTGTGTATGTGTAAAAACAAAGATTGTGAAGTAACTTCTAAAGATTATCTAATTAGTTCAAGATTTTTCACATAATTCTACAAAAACCTGAAACTCTCTAGGGGATTCATAGAATATTCTCCATCCAGAATTTTGTCATAAGAGTTTTATGAAATTACTGAACTATTACTTGAATCTAGATCATCCTTAAAACCAGAGATATCTACATTTCCCAAATCTCTTGCAAAGCATTTGCATACCATGTTATTTTCATTATTTCAAAACATTCCTTCCCCTTCTATTCTATCAACATATACAAGATATGCTGAATTTTACTTAGAAGCCATTTAGCTATCATTTATACACACACACACACACACACACACACACACACTTTCCAAAATGTAACACCTTCAAATATACATAATAAAAGACTAAACTTGTATCTTTTACAGAAATCTCAAAATTAAAATTTAACTGACTTCAACTGGGCAAAACCACACCATCTCAGTTACTATAGGTTCATACTAAGTCTTGATAGCTGATAGGGCAAATTATTCTTCCCTGCTTTTCTTCTTAAAATGCCCTGCTGTTTTCAACCACTTACTCTTCTACATAAATATCATATAATCTTATCAAATTACATGAAAATCTTATTGGTCTTGAACTCTTTGCCTCAAGAGATCCTCCTACCTTGGCCTCCCAAAGTGCTGGCATTACAGGCATGAGCCACTGAGCCCTTGAAATCTTACGAGGATTTTTATTGAACATGCACTGAATTTACAAATCAACTTGAAAAGAACTGAAATCTTCACAATGTTAAATCTTCCAATCAATGAATAAAGTATATGTTTATTTCATTCTTTGTTAGTTTTTCTTCATTTAAAAATTTTTCCTTTTTTAGGTCTTGCACATACTTTGTTACATTTATTACTATTAGTACAAAATAATATTATTGTCAATGGCAGCTTCCTTTGTTATTGTTAGTCACTCTAGAAATGTGATTGACTTTTGTATGTTAATCTTATATCCAGCTCCTTTGCTAAATTTTCACATTATTTCTAATAATTTGTTTGTAGTTTTCAGAGGGAAAAGGTATGTAAACCATCTATAATAATGGCAGTTTTATTTCTACCTTTCCAATCTTTACATATCTATTTTTCCATGTTTATTGCACTGGTTAATAACTCTAATACGGTGTTGAAGAAAAGTAGTAATAGTAGTATCCTAGTCATATTCCTGAATTTTAAAAGGAATGCTTCTAATATTTTTCCAATTAGGATGATAATTGTTCTGGGTTTTCTAAAGACACTCTTTATGAAGTTAAGGAAAATTTTATTCTATTCCTAATGAACAAGTGTTGAATTTTATCAAAAGCTTTCTTTGTACCTATTGAGATGATCGTATACAGCTTTTTTAAAAACTCTGTTTTGAACTAACGTAAGACTTACAAAAAAGTTGCAAAAATAGTACAGAGTTACCTTATATTCCTCACTATGTCGACTAATGTGGGCATCTCACATATTATAAATTATCTTAAACAGGAAACTAATGTTAATTAAATATTGTTAAATAAAATGTAGATGTTATTTAAATTTTATCAATTCTCCTATTAATATCCTTTTTCTATGTAGGATTTCATCCAAGATCCCACCTCATATTTAGTTGTTATTTCTCTTTGGTCTCCTCTAGTCTATAAGAGTTTCTCAGTCTTTTCTTTTTCATTACCTTGACACTTATGAAGAATCCTGATCAATTATTTAGTAGAACGTCCTTCCCTTTGGGTTTCTCCAGTGTTTTATGATTGGAATGAAGTTATGCATTTTTGGCAATTCCACAAAAAATATGGTGGATCCTTCTCAATGGATAATATCAAAGCATTTATGATACCATACATCTTATTACTGGTGATATTTATCCCAATCACTCAGTTAACTTGGTGTCTGAAGAGTTTTCTTATAAATTTATTATTTTCCCTCTAGTATGCTGGTATCTTGGGGAGATACTTTGAGACTATGCAATGCTCTCTCTCCTCAAACTTTCACCTACTAATTTTAGCATCTATCAGTGCATTTGTGTCAGTGCAGTATTTATTATTGTGATCTCTGCCTGATGGTAATTCTCTATTTTTGTGTTTTGTATTTTTTTTTTTTTCCTTGAGACAGAGTCTCACTCTGTTGCCCGGGCTGAAGTGCAGTGGCATGATCACAGCTCACTGCAGCCTCAACCTCCTGGGATCAATCTATCCTCCCACCTCAGCCTCCCGAATAGCTGGGACTATAGGGACACACCTCCAAACCTGGTTAATTTTTCTATTTTTTGTAGAGACGGGGTTTTGCCATGTTGCCCAGGCTGGTCTCGAACTCCTGGGCTCAAGCCATCCACCTGCCTCAGCCTCCCAAAGTGCTGGGATTATAGGCATGAACCACTGAGCATGGCCAGTAATTCTCTATTTTTTTTTCTTTTCTCTCAGATTTATTAATTGGAATTCCATTGGAAGGAAGAGCTCTCTCTTCCCCTCTGGTTAGTTAATGAAATACATATATCTTTATGTCAGTAAGGATTTGTAAAGATTTTAATCTATGGGTTCTAATCCAATACTATCATTATTTTCTTACTCAAATTGCTTCAGCTTTAGCCAGTAGGTGTTCCTTCAGGTTGGCTCTTGCATTATTTCAACATGTCTTGTCTGGCACCACTAGACTTCCAGGCTTATCCTGAATTTGCCCTGACCCAGTCCTGTAATCAACCACTTTTAGCAGAGCTGTTTCCTTTCATTAGAGAACTATGTTGGCCAGGCACAATGGCTCACACCTGTAATCCCAGCATTTTGGGAGGCCAAGATGGGTGGACTGCTGAAGCCCAGGAGTCCGAGACCAGCCAGAGCAACATGGTGAAATCCAGTCTCTACAAGAAATACAAAAATTAGCCAGGCGTGGTAGTGCACAGCTATGGTACCGGCTACTTGGAAGGCTGAAGTGGGAGGCTGGCTTGAGCCCAGGAGGCAGAAGTTGGAGTAAGCCGAGATCACACCACTGTACTCTAGACTGGGCAACAGAGCCAGACCCTGTCTCAAAAAAAAAGAGAGGCCAGGCACAGTGGCTCACACCTGCAATCTCAGCACTTTGGGAGGCCAAAGTGGGCAGATCACCTGAGGTTAGGAGTTCAAGACCAGCCTGGCCAACATGGTGAAACCCCATCTCTACTAAAAATACAAAAATTATCTGGGCGTGGTGGCACGTACCTGTAGTCCCAGCTACTTGGGAGGCTGAAGCAGGAGAATTGCTCGAACCCAGGAGGCAGAGGTTGCAGTGAGCTAAGATCACGCCACTGCACTCCAGCCTGGGTGACAGAACAAGAGTCCATCTCAAAAAAAAAAAAAAGAAAAGAAAAGAAAAGAAAAGAAAATGTTTACAGATGAAGATCTGGGCACCAGGTATGCTCATTATTACTGGGGAGTAACTGCATCTGTGCTGTGCTCGCTCAATGGACAGAACTAGGAGATGTTTATGTATGTGTACTATCCCACCCATATACACATGCCTATATTTCTGTATCCATTTATCTATATTAAAAATCCTCAGTTTATAACAATACCTCTGGTTCGTTTTAACCTTCCCTTGTTTATAATTTCTTTCTCCAACAGTGAGAAATCCAGCTTTCCTTATCTACAATCTATGTACTCATTTGTTCATTCTAGTATGTACATAAGGTTATTGCTAAGCCATTCCCCTTTGAGAAACATATTTCTAACTAGATTGCAGCATTTATGTACAGTCCTTTCTGTCATTAGCCTTATAGAATCCAGTCAATATACTCTTTTCCACAGCTACTTAGGTTTGTTCTTTTCTTCCCCACCCGCTTCTGTGTAGTTATTTTATTCATTTGTAACAATATTAGGTTCACTTGTAACAATATTACATTCATTTGTTAGTGTCACTTCCTCCTGACCCCTGCTATCCTGTTCCCATTCCCCACTTTCTTCCACCCCTCTCCTATGTGCCCCCTGTAGGTGACCAATCTCTTTAGTTTCTGGTTTATCCTTCCTGCATTTTCTTTCCACAAATAAACCGAGGTATTTTCTTATACCTCCATTCCTTCGTACAGGAAGGACAGCATACTACATACAGTTTTGGGGGGTTTATGTTTTCACATAACAGTATGTCCTGGGAATCACTCCATATCAGTTCATAGAGATCTTTTTCATTCTTTTTGTACAGCTGCATAGTACATAGTGTTCCACTATGTGAATGTAGCATAACTTAGTGAATCATTCTCCTATATATTTTGCAATTATAAACAATACTGCAATGAATAACCTTGTGATATGTATTTTCATATTGTTGGAGGTGTAGCTTCAGGGTAGATTCCTAGAAGTGGGATTGCTAGGTTGAAAGCTAAGTACATATGTAATTTTGTTAGATATTGCCAAATATCCCTTCACAAGGGTTGTAGCAATTTGCATTCCTACCACCAATGTATTAAGAGGGCACATTACCTCACAGTTGCGCCAACAGAATGTGCTTTTTTTTAATTTTGCCAATCTGATAGGTGAGAAATGGTATCTCCATGTAGTTTTAATTTGAATTTCTCTAATAAGTTATATTTGATAGCCATTTTTATATCTTTTTTTGAAAACTGACTGTTCATCTCTTTTTCACATTTTCCCTTTTGCCAGGCTAGAGTGCAGTGGCATGAATACAGCTCACTGCAGCCTCGACCTCCTGGGCTCAAACAATCCTCCTGCCTCAGCCTCCAACGTAGCTGGGACCATAGGCATGCACCACCACACCGGGCTGATTTTTTGACTTTTTGTAGAGACAGGGTCTCACTATGTTGCCCAGGCTGGACTCAAACTCCTGAGCTCAAGTGATTCTCCCACCTCAGCTTTCCAAAATGCTATGATTACCAGTGTGAACAACCACACCCAGCCTTTGTCACTCAGGGTTTAAAAGTTCTTTATATATTAGGGATATTAGCCTTTTGTTGTATGTTACAAATATTTTCTCCAAGTTTGTCAGTTGTCTTTTGACTTTGTTTATAGTGTTTTGGTTATGCAAAATTTATTTTTCTATAGTAAAATGTATCAGTTTATCTTCTACTGCCCCTGGATTCTGAGTAATATTAAGAAAAAGCCTTTCCCTACACCAAGATTACAGAGGATTCATTCAGGTTTCTTTCTTGTTGTTGCATGATTTTATTTTTTACATTTAGACTATTAATCCATATGGTGTTTATTACTGTTTGTTGTGAGATATGTGTCCAATTTTCCCTTTTTTCCAAATGGCTACCCAGTTGTCTCAGCACCATTTATTAAGAAGTTAGCTTTTATCTCACTGATTCCAGATACTATCTTTGTCATATATTAAATTGCTATATGTAGGTGGGTCTAATTCTAATCTTCTTACTCTGTTCCACTGGTCTACTTGTCTATTCATGCATCAGTACTTCACTGTTTTAATTACAGAGGCTTTATAGTATGTTTTAACATCTGGTAAAGCTAGTTCCCCTCCTCTGTAGTTTTCCTTTGTCAGTCTTTTCCTAGCTATTCTTGCATGTCTGTTTTCCCCTATGAGCTTTAGTATCAACTTTTATATGCCATAACATATATATTTTCATTGGAACTACATTGAATTTACATATTAACTTAGGAAGAACTGACATCATTATAATGTTGAGTCATCCTATCCAAGAACAGGGAATGTCTTTCCATTTCTTCATGTCTTCATTTCTTTCTGGAGTGTTTAAATTTTTTCCTCATATAGGCTTTGCATATTTCTTGTTAACTGTATTTTGAACTATCTTCTTTATTACTATAGTAAATGAGTTTTTCACTATCATTATGCCCTCTGTTTATTATTTGTGTATATTAAGTCTAATTACTATTATTATTTTTTTTTGAGACAGGGCCTTGCTCTGTTGCCCAGGCTGGAGTACAGTGGTGCAATCACAGCTCACTGCAACCTCATCCCCCAGCCTGGGCTCAAGCAATCCTTTTACCTCAGCCTCCCAAACAGCTGGGACCACAGGTGGGTGCCACCACACCCAGCTTTTTTTTCTTTTTCTTTTTCTTTTTTGTAGCCCAGGCTGGTCTTGAATTCCTGGGCTCAAGCTGTCCACCCACTTTCATCTCCCAAAGGGCTAGAATTACAGACGCAAACCACTGCACTCAGCCTAATGATATTTTTTAACACTAATTTTGCATTCTGTTATATCACTGAATTATCTTATTATTTAAATTTGTTTTAACTTTGATTCCCTGGAGTTTTCAGGTATGTTATCAGAGCATTTGTAAATAGAAATAATTTTCATTCTTCTTTATCCATTCAAATGCCTCTTCTTTCTTTTTTTTTTTTTGGAGACCGAATCTCACTCTGTCGCTCAGGCTGCAGTGCAGTGTAGTGGTGCTCACTGCAACCTCCACCTCCCAGGTTCAGGCAATTCTCATGCCTCAGCCTCCTGAGTAGCTGGGACCACAGGCATGCACCACCACACCTGGCTAATTTTTCATCTTTTTAGTACAGACAGGGTTTTGCTATGTTGGCCAGGCTGGTCCCAAACTCCTGGCCTCAAGTGATCCGCCCACCTTGGCCTCCCAAAGTGCTGGGATTACAGGCGTGAGCCACCGCACCAGACCAGATGCCTCTTCTTGTCTAAGTGCATTAGCTGATAATTCTAGTATAAGATGAATAGTTGCAGAGATAGTGGACATCCTTATCTTTTTCCTGGTTTTAATGACAATGCCTCGAGTGCTTTTCTATTAAATAAGACATTGGCATTAGGACTAAGTATCTATTTTATTGATATAGTATTAATCATATTATAATGCTGTATTGATGCTATATTTATTTAAGAAAAAAAATTTTTTTGAGACAAGGTCTGACTCCGGTCACCCAGGCTGAAGTGCTGTGGTACAATCATGGCTCACTGCAGCCTCAACTTTCTTTCCCACTTAAGCCTCCCTAGTAGCTGTAACTACAGGTGTGCACCACTACACCTGGCTAATTTTTCCGTATTTTTAGTAGAGATGAGGTTTCACCATATCATCCAGGCTGGTGTCGAGCTCCTGGGCCCAAGTAATCCTCCTGCCTCAGCCACCCAAAGTGCTGGGATTACAGGCATAAGCCACTGTGCCAGGCTGATACTATATTTATTGATACTGAAAGGGAAAGTATCCTAGTATATTACTAGTTAACAGTATTATACAAACGTTGATTTCCTGTTGTTGATATTGTACTAAAGTTATATAAGATATCACCATTGGGAGAAGCTAGAAGAAGAGTTCATGGGACTTTATGTATTATTTTTGCAATCCCCTGTGATTCTATAATTATACAGATATTTATTATTTAAAAAACTTTTAAATTTGAAATATTATCTGTATGCTAATAACTCTAAAATTTGCCTCTTAATTTTAAACCTGTCTTCTGAGTCCTGAACTTTGTTTCCAGTTCTTATATGACATTTCCACTTGAATATCTCAAAGATATCTAAAACTTAACATGCCTTGAAACATAGTCCTTTTCCCCACAAACCAGTTCCCTCTCAGTCTTTCCCAATAAAGGCTACCTAGTTACTTAAACCAGTAATTCAGTAGCAGTAGATTGTCCCTCTTCCCTGATCCCCAGACCCACATCATCAGAAAATCCTATTAACTCTATTTACAAATATATCTCAGCTCTTTAGCTCCACTGGCCTCCCATTATCTCTCAACTGCAGCTATTGTAACAACTTCCTAACCCTGATTCTACTCCATGATCAATCCTTCTCAACTAGAACCACGGCATTCTGTATCTTAACCCTTTGTTAGTTTCCTTCATAGCACTCATTATCACCTGCACATATTTTACTTATATGTCTGTTTCATTCATTTTTTTTGGTCTGTCTTCCACATGAGAACATAAGCTCCAGGAGGACAGGCACCATTGTACCCCCAGTGTACAGTAAACACAGTGCCTGAAACAATGTCAACACATAATAAATATATATTGGATAGATGAAGAACTCTATTTTAGTTGTCTATGAAATATGTCAGAGTTGGTTTTCTGCTGATGGGCCACCCTAGTATATAATGAAACCTTGCCCATTCCAAACACAGTTCTTGTTATTCTAATTGTTGCTCTTCCCTTCTACTTGCTCTGCCTTTCTTTAAGAATTCAAAGATTGGAATTCCATGCTCTATCTTCCATATATATATCCTATAACTTTCCTATTATTCCAGTTATCTTCTTGTATAATCAGTATATTTCTCTAGCTATTTTCTTGTATGATATTTCAGCATTTTATCAAATATATTTTGCTAGCTTATTATTTCTCCCTCTAATATTACTATGTTACTACTACATTATGTGCAGGTTCAACATCTTATATTCATTTTCTCACTTAATCTTCATAACAACCCTATAAGGTATATATGTATTTTTATCTCCATTTCACAGAAAAGGAGACAAAAGTATAGTGAAGTGAAATACATTGCCTAAAGACAAAGACTGGAAGTAAGAGGGCCAGTATTCAAATCCTGGTCTATCTGAGTCCAGTGACCATAACCACAAGTTTATACTGTTTCCCTTACTTTGTTTTCTTTCTTTTTTTTATGTTATTTTATTTCCTAGAGGAGGAGATAGCTGCTAGTTTCCTCATTAAACAGCTTCTTTTAAAGAAGAGAAAACTGGACATTAAAGAAGAAAGATAGCTTTTCTTAGCAGTGGTAGACAGGAGAATAAGGATTCAAACCACAGCTGTCTGAATACGAGACCAATACATTTTTATTACCTCAAGGATTCTTAATCAGAGGCTCAGAAGTTCCACAGAAGAACTTCAGAGGTCCGTGGAATGCTTTAGAATTATAAGCAAAATTTTGTGCCTATCTACATAAGTCCAGTTTTCTGGAGAAATGGTCTATAGATTCTCAAAGAGGTCTCTGACTCCCTAAAAGGTGAAGAACCACCACTATACTGATGGCCTAAGAAAACGAAACATGAGACCCAATACTTCTTAAAATAAATGTGATTTACAATGTACAAGTTCATTTCTTAAAATTCTATTTTCATTCTTACTAATGAAAAGAAACCAATACTCTCCAACTGTTTAGAAAACATTTTGTAAAAGAACCATTTTAACCCTAATCTTTCCTAGTATGTTTTTATACTTTAAACACTACTACATTACTTCATTTAAAATGTGCCTTACATTCTTCAGGCTGAATAGATGAATAACTCCCAAGATTTAATAACTGACTGCTAAATGTTGATTGTAGTACTGTCTCGCCAATCCATTGGTCCTCATGAATAACAACATCTAGAGAGAGAAAAAACGTTCTGATCATGCCATAAATTCCTTCACAATGTGGTTAACCTACTAGTCACAACAAAATACTATGCATGCCTCCCATATACCAAGCAAGTAGAGATCAAATAGGTTAAATAACCTGCCTAAAGGCACGAAATAAGAAAACAGCAAATCTAAAATCTAAATCTAGGTAAATTAACAAAATTGCTTCTTTATATTCAAATGATAGCAGTATGGAAGTCCACTGCTCTATATAAAAAAGGCTTAATAGTTTTTATTTACATAAGGAAAATGTTATCATGTATATTTCTGATACATTAAAAATAATTTTTTTTAGGACCAGAAGGCAAAGTAGTGGTTCCAAAGCCGTAGTGCCTAGGAGAGTAATAATATTCAGTATGCACTGGTCCCTTCTACTATAAATATATCTGAATATAAGGCATTCTTAACACACTTGATTATTTTTCCCTAAATAGCACTATAATTATCTTCCACATAAGTTAAAAGTGAAAGACTTTGGAGGTAGGGAACATTTTCCAATTGGAAAGAGAGAGCTGTATATCTAAGACGGATAGAGTAGAATCAGGTAGAACTAAACATACCAACAGGTAGAAACAATTGTAGGTAGAGCAAAACGTGTGAGCTGTAAAGAGAAAGAGGGGAAGGGAGCTATCTCTAAGGCAGGATCTAATCAGCATACAGTGTCAGAGGTATAAACATATATTAACAATAGTGAAATAATGTAGAGATAATAGGAAAGAAAACCAAGGATGTATAAATTCCAAGTGATTACTTACAGATTTAGATTCCAGACCCTTTCCTCAGCTTTTGAACCTTTTACCTACAACTGCCTAATGGAAATTCCCACCTGGATATTCCATTGGCTCCCCAAACTCAGCAATGTCCAAACCTGCTTTTCCTTTCATAGCGCCCAACTCATTTGTTGACGCTATGCTGCTAATCAAGTAAACTAACATCTGAAGTCATCTTGCCTCTCCCTTCCCACTCCTTGCCACCAGCCCCCACCTACCCCTCTGCTGCTTAAATGTGCCCATGCCCCACCACTACTACTGTTTTACATTACACATTCCTTTCCCTCCCAACAGGTGCTTGTCCCGCCTGCAACCCATTTCTTACAATGCTAATGAGTCATTCATCAGAGCATTAATGAGTTCAGGCGAGTGATATATCAGAGCATTAATGAGTTCAGGTGACTTACTAAAAAACAGTGGTTCCCCACTGCCTAGCCAGGAAGAGCTAGTACAGCATTCAAGACTTTTCATGATCCAACATTCAGGATGCATGTTCTTCAGAAAAAAGGAACAGACGAGAAATTTCAAGGAGAGCATTCTGAAAGCTAGGACTGTGAAGCATATGTTGGATTAGTGACATGGTAATCACTAGTGGTGCATGGAGGGGATGGGTAGCCCGCCCTGGCCTCCTGGCTCCTTCCTACCCTCTCACTGACATGCCCCAGCTCCTAGTCCTTATTCTGTTTGTCCTTTAAACACTGTTGTTTCCCAATGTTAAGCCTCCCATCTTCTTCTAATTCTAGTCAGTAGTCTCCCTTAGGTAATCCTTATTTTTGGCATCTCTTCATTCTATTGCTAGAAGTTATAATAGCAAACTGTCTGCTGTGTTGGTATTCAACAAGGTCTGGAATACATCTGTTACTTAAAATTTTTCAGTTTGGGCCGGGCGCGATGGCTCACGCCTGTAATCCCAGAACTTTGGGAGGCCGAGGTGGGCAGATCACAAGGTCAGGAGTTCGAGACCAGCCCGGCCAATATGGTGAAACCCTGTCTCTACTAAAAATACAAAAATTAGTCAGGCGTGGTGGCGGGCTCCTGTAGTCCCAGCTACTTGGGAGGCTGAGGCAGGAGAATCACTTGAACCCAGGAGGCAGAGGTTGCAGTGAGCCGAGATCGCGCCACTGCACTCCAGCCTGGGCAACAGAGCAAGACTCCATCTCAAAAAAAAAAAAAAAAAGGAAGATTTCTGTTTGGGGGTATATATCAATAGGTAGTATGAACTACCCAGGCTATCCAACTAAGTTCACTGCCTCATTAGGACAACAGAAAAGTGTAGATTTCTTTTTTTTCCCAACATTTCCATCTGTTCCACACAAAAGAAACTTATTCAGAAATAAGTGAACTAGGTCCTCTTTTTCTTAAAAAGACAAAAAAATCTGATTTTTAAAAAAAATGTTCATAGAAATCATCTAAATGTCTTATAATAGGAAAATGGTTAAGTAAATTGCATTTCAGCCACCAGAGAGAATGTTACCTCGTTGTTAACAACTATAGAGATGTTAGGAAAAAATACAGAGATTGCAGAGTTGAGTTTACACCTACCTAGGAAAAAGGAAAAGGCCCCTGAGAGGTCCCTGCTGACATTAATTGCCTCGGTAAAATGACCATGGTCCAGGATCCAGCCCTCTTTTACAGTCTGGGAAACTTAATTTTGTTAACACTCCAAAACTAGATTTCAGCTCTGCAACATAAGCTCATACTAAATCAACTAATGAAACAAATTAAAGAAAAAAAAATTTTTTTTTCATTTACAATGAGGCATTAATTGCCCAAAAAAACAGTATTTCAGCCTGTTCTCATGCTGTGGGCAGCTCTACAACTAGAAAGCCAAATCACAAGCAAAGAGGTATTCAGCAAGCACTGAATCAGAACAGAGGGAGTTAGGTGAATTGAATCTCCAATAATATAATCACATATAAATAATATTAGCTAATACTGCCAGTGGGATGTGGCTATGCTAAGCCTGTTCATTACAATCTTGTGTTTACCTCTTTATAAAAGATTGTACTCGGCCGGGTGCGGTGGCTCACGCCTGTAATCCCAGCACTTTGGGAGGCTGAGGCGGGCGGATCACGAGGTGAGGATATCGAGACCATCCTGGCTAACACAGTGAAACCCTGTCTCTACTAAAAATACAAAAAAATTAGCCGCGCGCGGTGGCAGGCGCCTGTAGTCCCAGCTATTCAGGAGGCTGAGGCAGGAAAATGGCGTGAACCCGGGAGGCGGAGCTTGCAGTGAGCAGACATCGCGCCCCTGCACTCCAGCCTGGGTGCCAGAGCCAGACTCCGTCTCAAAAAAACAAAAAAGATTGTACTTGACAATCCTACAGGAACACCAAGGTACATTAGCTAAGGTTCTCATTCCTCCTGTAAACTATTTGGTAGGATTATCAATATTGCTTCGAAGTTTTCTTCTTCTAAATACCTCCTCTGTATCACATTCTTTCTTTAGATATTTTATTAAGCTTAATCAACTTCCTCCTGCTCTAATACACCATGTGTCAATTTTAAATCAACAAAGAACATGTAACACAATGTTAGATGTGTTCGGTGAAAACATATTCTGGCCAGGCACGGTGGCTCACACTTGTAATCCTAGCATTTTGGGAGGACAAGGTGGGCGGATCACCTGAGGACAGGAGTTCGAAACCAGCCCGGCCAACATGGTGAAACCCCGTCTCTACTAAAAATACAAAAATTAGCCAGGCATGGTGGCTTACACCTGTAATCTCAGCTACTCGAGAGGCTGAGGCAGGAGAATCACCTGCACCCAGGAGGCGGAGGTTGCAGTGAGTCAAGATTGTGCCACTGCGCTCCAGCCTGGGTGACAGAGCAAGACTGTCTCAAAAAAAAAAAAAAAAATATTAAATATTCTCTCTGGGTGCAGCGGCATGCGTGCCTGTAGTCCTGGCTACTTGGGAGACTGAGGCAGGAGGCTCACTTGAGCCCAGGAGTTCAGAGTTGTAGCCGATCAGGTGTCTGCACTAAGCTTGCCATCAATATAGTGACCTCCTGGGAGTGGAGGACCACAGGTTCCCTAAGGAGGGGTGAACTGGTCCAGGTTGGAAACAAGGGCATGTTAAAAATACCATGGGCACGGTGGCTCACGCCTGTAATCCTAGCACTTCGGGAGGCTGCGGCAGGAGGATCAATTGAGCCCAGGAGTTGGAGATCAGCCTGGGTAATGCAGTGAGACCCTGTCCCTATTAAACAAACAAACAAAAAATTAAAAATAACAATTTAAAAATTCTCATGCTGATCAGCAATGGGATTGTGCCCGTGAGTACCCACTGCACTTGGCAACATAGCAAGACTCTGTCTCTTAAAAATAAATAAATTAAAAATTAAAAAAACAAAATGTTCTTTATGGTTACAACTATATAGTAAGAGTATAAATTCTGGAGTCTAGGAGAAACTATAGCTTTGCCACTTCCTAGATGTATGACATTGGACAAGTTACTTTACTTCTCTGGGCTTCAGCTTCCTCAACTGAAAAGTAGGGATAAAAATCAGTACCTTCCTCATATACTTGTTGTAATGAAATATGCATGTAAAATCTAAAACAGGGTCTCACAAACTAAGCTCCCAATAAATATGAGCTTCTATGTGTGATATATACACACATGCACACACATTTTAAGGAGAACAGAGAAAATAACTGGAAGGCAACACTCTAGAACTCTATTGGTGGTTATATGAAGTTGGTATAATACCAGTTTTTTCCTTTCCATATTTCCAAGTGTAATTAATATAATTTTGATAATAAGGCAATAGAAATCAATAACTGTTCCCACAGTAAAAATACAATGTGCACAGCATTATTAGACATTAGGTAAAGAAGCAGAAAGGTCTAACTCTGTTGCTCGGGCTGGAGTGCAGTGGCCCAATCAAAGCTCACTGCAGCCTCAACCTCCTGGGCTCAAGCAATCCTCTCGCGTCAGCCTCCTGGGTAGCTGGGACTACAGGCACGCAAACCTTAATTTATTTTTTGTAGAGACGGGTTCTGTGTTGCCAAGGCTGGTCTCAAATTCCTGGCCTCAAGCAATCTTCCTGCCTCAGCCTCCCAAAGTGCTGGGATTACAAGTGTGACCCACTCCACCTGACTAGGGAAGGCTTATTAAAGGAGGGGATAAGTGGAAAGAAGGGACAGAGCTGAGAAGGATAGAACAGAGGCCCAGAAGTGGCAATGGGCAGGAGAGTGGACAATGGAAAGGAGAACAATGCAGATGCGATAAAGGGATCAATTATGCTGCGCTCAGAAGAGGCAAATGACTAAAGAGTCTTCAAAGACTAAGTGGGAGAAAAACAAAAACAAACAAAACTTAGCTTTATAAAATAAGCTACCACTATACCATAATGACCTCACCTGTGAGTAAAATTATATCTCCAAGAAACACTGTAAATGCCCAAAATGCTGCAGTCCTCCACAGAAAAACCTTCTTCTTAGTTTCTGATTGATCAATTACTGTAACTGTTGCTAAAGGCACTTTAGAGCCAGAATTTGGTCCGAATTTTATGTTTATTTCCTTCACATGGCATGGAGATAGCACCATGACTAAACAATTATACTTCTGGCTTTTAGAATCACAGTTTTTTATTAATGATGTTTTTTTAATACTCTTAAATTCAGACACATTTCTCCGATCCATTTCTACAGCAGAATCTCCTCCATTAGAAATCAACTTCATTTTCTTAGCTACTTGAAGGACTCTAGATAGAGCTTCAGACTGGCCCACTTTATCTTCAGAGGTACAGCTTCTTTTAATAGCACTTTTGTGGAAGGTATTTAGTTGGGAACACAGTATTCCTGAGCTACACAACTCAATACGTATCTCATTTGGTGGCAGTTCATCTTCAGAACTGAAAAGTTCTTGAGATCCTGTATGTTCTTCAAGACCTTTATCAGAGTTTATGTGAATGCGGCTATTTTCTGTTTTAGGACAAACAGGACTAAAAAGTTCAAGGGAATATGCTTGGTTTTGTCCACTTTCATATGCTTCTGTAAAACCATCAAGCTGAATCGAATTCTCTTCAGGTATTCTTATCTCCCCGTAACTTGCCTTTGGTTCAGTCTCCATGTTTACATTCCCTTTATTTACAGGACTCCGCCTTTTATCTTTCTTTTGAGCTAAAAAAGCAACCTGGCTGGAGGTAATTATACTGAGAAATTCTGTATCAGTTGATATTTTAAGGTCTGAGACCTTCCTAACTGCTGCTTCAGACCTTGACTTATCTACTGCGTTCGAGGAAAATAATCCCAAACACTGGTTTTGTATTTCATGATATTCTGTTGGCACACACTCTCTTTGTACCACTTCAGGCCCTATATTAATTTTTTCAGTACTACAAACCAAATCCAACACAGCTGCACATTTATGGCCCAACTGAAACAAATTTGTGTTAAAGTTCTTACCACATATATCTGGCTGATGTTTAGGCTGTTCATCTCTAATTTTATTTTCACTGAGAAGCTTTTGATACTTTTCTTCTTCGGTGAAATGCGGAACTGTGCTTTTAAATCCACATATTTGCATATTAGAGCTAGTTATATCACTCAGTCTAGAGGAGTGAATCTTCTGGGATTCTATATTCTGTGTTTCAGAAACAGAACGTACAAAGTCATCTTTCACATGAACATGTCTATTCATACAGTTTGCTAAGAAATGACCACTAAGATCTGGAGAACCAATAGATTCTGGGACTTTATAGTTTTCAAGATTTTTGTGCTGTTTTTCATCCTTCAGATATAAAGAATGTTGACTGTATAAAAGCTGAATTTTTTTCCAGGGGTCAGCAACAGACATTAAAGAAGCTGTGTCTTCTGATACTGTGATTTTCAGTGGAGCAATTGGAGCACCCCAAAAAATGTGGACTTGAGATCCTCCACTCATGATTTCTGATAAAAATGAAAAATCCAAAATTAATATATTGTCAGCATATTTTTGCATATGGATATTAACTTAATAATGTACCAAAAGAAAATATAACTGAGTCAAAAACATAATTAACATAGGTGATTTTTTTGATATGCCATTTAATTATATAAAATTCATAAATACACAAGAAATTATTAAGGAGAAATCACAATATTCACAAAAATTTTTCACCTAAAGACTCACTTTAGGCCGGGCGCAGTGGCTCACACCTGTAATCCCAGCTCTTTGGGAGGCCGAGGCGGGTGGATCACGAGGTCAGGAGATTGAGACCATCCTGCCTAACAGCGTGAAACGCCGTCTATACTAAAAACAAAAAATTAGCTGGGCGTGGTAGCACACGCCTGTAGTCCCAGCCACTTGAAGGCTGAGGCAGAAGAATCGCTTGAACCCAGGAGGCGGAGGTTGCAGTGAGCCTAGATTGCACCACTGCACTCTAGCCTGGGCAACAGAGTGAGACTCCATCTCAAAAAAAGACTCTCTTTAAGGGGAATAAAGCTAAGCACACTCACATCAAACAAGTAAATAGGTTTTTAGTATGTTTGTTTCATTTGAGATGGAGTCTTGCTCTGTTGCCCAGGCTGGACTGCAGTGTTGCCATCTAGGCTCACTGCAACGTCCGCCTCCCAGGTTCAACCAATTCTCCTGCTTCAGCCCCCTGATTAGCTGGGATTACAGTCTGTGCCACCACGCCCGGCTAATTTTTGTACTTTTAGTAGAGACGGGGTTTCACCATGTCGGCCAGGCTGGTCTCAAACTCCTGACCTCAAGAAATCCACTCGCCTCTGCTTGTCAAAGTGCTGGGATTACAGGCGTGAGCCACCGCGCCTGGCCTGTTTATTTCTTATGTTGTAAAAACTTGCCCCATTTAAATAACAAGTTAGTAAAGAATGGGAAAAGAGGCATTTGTTTAACTATATTACAGTCACCTTTAAATTACTCATTTTGGGGCAGAGCACAGTGGTTCATGCCTGTAATCGCAGCACTTTGGGAGGCCAAGGGGGTGGATCACTTGAGGTCAGGAGTTCAAGACCAGCCAGGCCAAGATGGCAAAACCCCATCTCTACTAAAAATACAAAAATTAGCCAGCTGTGATGGCCCGTGCCTAAAGTCTCAGTTACTTGGGAGTCTGAGGCAAGAGAAGCGCTTGAACTCAGGAGGAGGAGGTTGCAGTGAGCCAAGATCTCGCCACTGCACTCCAGCCTGGGCGACAAAGCGAGACTCCATCTCAAAAAAAAAAAAAAAAAAAAATTACTCATTTTTGGCCAGCCATGGTGGCTCACACCGGTAATCCCAGCACTTTGGGAGGCCGAGGTGGGAGGATCACTTGAGACCAGGAGTTCGAGGCCAGCTTGGACAACATAGTAAGACCACCATCTCTACAAAAATATTTAAAAACTAAAAAATTTCTTAAAATTAGCTGGACATAGTAGTGGAACACCTATAGTCCCAGCTACTAGGGAGGCTGAGGTGGGAGGATTACTTGAGCCTGAGAGGCGGACATTGCAGTGAGCCATGATCACACCACTGCACTTCAGTCTGAGTAACAAAGTGAGACCTTTTATTTATTTATTTATTTATTTATTTAGAGACAGAGTTTTGCTCTTGTCACCCAGTCTGGAGTGCAATGACGTGATCTCAGCTCACTGCAACCTCCTGTCTCCCAGGTTCAAGCAATTCTCCTATCTCAACCTACCGAGTAGCTGAGATTACAGCCATCTACCACCACGCCCAGCTAATTTTAGTTTTTTTAGTAGAGATGGGGTGTCACCATGTTGGCCAGGCTGGTCGCAAACTCCTGACCTCAAGTGATCCACCCACCTTGGCCTCCCAAAGTGTTGGGATTACAGGTGTGAGCCACCGTGCCTGGCGAGACCCTCTCTTTAAAAAAATGATTAAGAATCACTACTATTGCTATAACTACATATTCCAACCTCATTTAATCCTCATAGAAAGAATAACCTTCATAAGGAATAACTGGTATATTAGCTGTTCTATTGCATGTCATTATTAGATTTACCACTAGGGGCCCCAAATAGCACAGCAAAAGCCTTCAAGTTCAAAATACATTAATATATCAAACCCAAGTGGAAGGAGAAATATATTATCTTGAAATGTTGGTTGGGGCCTGGCATGGTGGCTCACGCCTGTAATCCCCGCACTTTGAGAGGCCGAAGTGGGAGGATCACCTGAGGTCAGGAGTCCGAGACCAGCCTGGCCAACATGGCGAAACTTCATCTCTACTAAAAACACAAAAATTACCAGGGCATGATGGCACAAGCCTGTAGTCTCAGCTACTAGGGAGGCTGAGGCAGGAGAATCGCTTGAACCCGGGAGGTTGCAGTGAGCCAAGATCATGCCACTGCACTCCAGCACTCCAGCCTGGGTGACAGAGTGAGACTCTGCCTCAGAAAAAAAAAAAAAAAAAAAGTTGGTGGGAATACTTAGATATATGCAAATCAAATGCATAACATTACCATGATAATGAATTCTCCTCCGTCAGATCTTTGGCTTTCTTCTCCAATGGTTTCTTCCCTTTAGTTTCAAATCTTTATTTTATTTTATTTTTTGAGTTAGGGTCTCTCTCTGTCACCCAGGCTGGAGTGCAATGGTGCAATCATGGCTCACTGCAGCCTCAAGCTGCTGGGCTCAAGCTATCATCCAGCCACAGCCTCCCAAATAGCTGGGACTACAGATACATACTGTCACGCTCAGCTACAAATCTTTAAAAATAAAACCAACCCCCGCCCCCCCACAAACTTGTTTGTTGTTTCTTACATCTCATTTCTCCTTTAATCTTCAACCACTTCTACTCCAACCATTTTGCTATAAAAGTTTTCACTATGGAAACCAATGACCTTCTAGAAGCCAAATCCAAAGGTCAGTTTTCAATACTTTTACTACCATTTGAAACTGTTTATCAATCCCTCTTTTCTGAAACATTCCGCTTTTTTGACTCTGTGAGACCACCATATTGGAATTCTTTTGTACTTAAGACAGATATGTATTGGATTATTCCTTCAATCACTTACGTAACAAACATTCAACATTACGTGCTGGGCATTATGCTAGGCCCTGGGAATTCAAAACAATAATAGAGAGCTTTAAGGAGCTTAATTTCTGAGAGGAAAAACAAACTGACAATTATAAAAAGTGACAGGAGGCCAGGAGCCTTGGCTCACGCCTGTAATCCCAGAACTTCGGGAGGCTGAGGCAAGTGGATCACCTGAGGTCAGGAGTTCAAGACTAGCCTAGGCAACATGGTAAAATCCTGTAAAAATACGAAAATTAGCCAGGTGTGGTGGCACGCACCTGTAATCCCAGCTACTCAGGAGGCTGAGGCATGAGAATCGCTTGAACCCAGGAGGCAGAAGTTACAGTGAGCTGAGATCACACCACTGCACTCCAGTCTGGGTGACTCTGTCTCAAAAAAAAAAAAAAAGTGATAGGAGCTACTACAGGATTAAAAGGAAGGGACAGCAACTCTAGAAGAGAGAAGCCTGGGGCAGTTCAACCAATGTGGAACTGCCCATTATCTGCATTTTTCGTAGGCTCTTAGGACTACAGTTAATCACAAAATTTTGGAACTGAATTTTATTAATGTTCAGAAAAAAAGTCATATAATAAAGTCCCCGAGTCATTCCCCACCCCAAAATAGGGCCCAGGAAAGCTGCCCTAATTGCCTTACCCAAGGGACAGGCCTACTATGGGTAATCTCCAAAATGTTTAAAAGGTGTATACGACATTTACCGCTTCTGTGTCCTCACTTAATATTTTCTCCTAAATGTTCTGCAACCTTTCATTTCCTATCTGTGATAAGACAATAATGAAGTCCAAATTGCCAAATAAGAACTCACAGTGCTTCACCACTGCAGTTGTGAAACTCTCTCCTTAGTTTCTAGAACATTACTCTTTCCTAAATTGTTCTACCTCTCCAATTTCTCTCTCTCTCTCTTCCTCCTTGGGCCACCTCTTTCCATTCCACACACCTCTAGAGAATTTCATCCAATCCCATTCATATAACTACCACATATCCAACTGTGCTTTACATATCTATACTGAGCCAATCTCTCTCCCAAACTTCAGACCTATATTTCTAGCATTACTATATTTGATAGGATCACAGTAGAATCAACATGAAGCAATCCTGAGAATTCAGAGGATCTCTCAGGGCAAGAAATATCTGAGATGAATGTGAGATCCATAAAACACAAGGTTTTTTTGTTTTTTTTTTTTTTTTCTTTTTTTTTTTTTTTGAGACAGAGTCTCGCTTTTGTCACCCAGGCTGGAGTGCAATGGCACGATCTCAGCTCACTGCAACCTCTGCCTCCTGGGTTTAAGCGATTCTCCTGCCTCAGCCTCCCAAGTAGCTGAGATTACAGGCATGCACCACCATGCCCAGCTAATTTTGTATTTTTAGTAGAGATGGGGTTTCTCCATGTAAGTCAGGCTGGTCTCGAACTCCCAACCTCAGCTGATCCGCCTGCTTCGGCCTCCCAAAGTGCTGAGATTAGAGGCATGAGCCACCACGCTGGGCGGCACAAGGTTATTATATATAATTGTTATTTCAGTGTGCCTTCACTTATTTGTCTAAATCAGGGGTGTCTAATCTTTTGGCTTCCCTGGGCCACAATGGAAGAAGGAGAATTGTCTTGGGCCACACATAAAATACAGTTAACACTAATGATAGCTAATGAGCTTAAAAAAAAAAAAATCGCAGGCTGGGCGCGGTGGCTCAAGCTTATAATCCCAGCACTTTGGGAGGCCAAGGTGGGCAGATCACTTGAGGTCAGGAGTTTGAGACCAGCCTGCCCAACATGGTAAAACCCCGTCTCTACTAAAAATACAAAAATTAGCTTGGAGTGATGGCACACACCTGTAATCCCAGCTACACCAGAGGCTGAGGCAGGAGAATCGCTTGAACCCAGGAGGTGGAGGTTGCAGTGAGCCAAGATCGGGCCACTGCACTCCAGCCTGGACAACAGAGCGAGACTCTGTCTCGAAAAAAAATCTCAAAAAGAACTCATAATGTTTTAAGAAAGTTTACAAACTCATGTTGGGTTGCATTTAAAGCCGTCCTGGACCACATGCAGCCCCACAGGCTGTGGGTTGAACAAGCTTCGTCTAAACAAATACCCTTGTAAGTGTGGAACTGTTACCCTACCCTCCTCACCACCCCCAAAAAAAATTTGACTAGAAAGTGGCCCTATTAAATCAAAAAATAGTAAATTTTTAAAAAGTGTTTATACCAAAGGCTACTGCTACTAAATACTCCAATTTATAGGAGTTGTGAGTATGTGAGTAGGAGGATGGAAACTGGCAAGGGCAGGGGGAAACAAAATATGTATGATAGCCAAATTATACAGACAGAAAAGTTATGGACAACTGATTAATTTCAATAATTCTAGGATATGTTTTAGGTGTATTCAGAGGGTTAAAGCTCATTAAGATACCAGATGAAACTTGCAAGTACATCTCCATTACCGCAGTTAATAATTATACAATTTCTCAATCTGCAGAAAGCCGCTTCAGTCGGAAAAACCAATACAACCATAATCCTTTATCTTTAGAGTGGTCAGAGTCTGATGAATGGGTCAAAGATTTCTAAAACAGGATGAACTGTATCAGCAGGTTTTGTCTTTGCAGAACACTGCAACTAAAAAAAATGCTTATTACAAAACATGTATCATTAAAAGAGAGTGCTTTTCCCCTCTTATTACCAGGGAGTGAAAAAACTCCCTGTAGTAATGCCTTTTCATGTCTATTTTACCAAAAACACCAAAAAAAATCATAAAGTTGCTCAATAGCATCAAATGACAAAGAAGCCACATGGGATTGTAATTAAAAGCAAGGGATTTGGAACAAGAGAGATGTGGGTTCAAATTACTACTCTGCAACTTACTCAAACTTGAAATTATTGAAGTTAAGTGATAGTTGCATGGGGTTCATTATACTATCCCTTGTTGGTTAAAGAAAATCATCCTTTTATTCTTTGACCTGATTGAACCAAATTCAATTTGCTATCATAGTTCATTTGTGTTAACAACACAGTACTAATAACCCACGTACTGTGTATATTCATGCCGAACTCTTTTAAGAATTACTAAATGCTGGGAGGCTGAGGAGGGCGGATCACGAGGTCAGGAGATCGAGACCATCCTGACTAACACGGTGAAACCCCGTCTCCACTAAAAAATACAAAAAATTAGCCGAGCGTGGTGGTGGGCCCCTGTAGTCCCAGCTACTCGGGAGGCTGAGGCAGAAGAATGGCGTGAACCCGGGAGGCGGAGCTTGCAGTGAACCAAGATCACGCCACTGCACTCCAGCCTGGGCAACAGAGCAAGGCTCCGTCTCAAAAAAAAAAAAAAAAAAAAAGAATTACAGGCCGGGAGCAGTGGCTCACGCCTGTAATCAATCCCAGCACTTTGGGAGGCTGAGGCGGGCAGATCACGAAGTCAGGAGATCGAGACCATCCTGGCTAACATGGTGAAACCCCGTCTCTACTAAAAATACAAAAAATTAGCTGGGCGTGGTGGCGGGCGCCTGTAGTCCCAGCTACTCTGGAGGCTGAGGCAGGAGCATGGCGTGAACCAGGGAGGCGGAGCTTGCAGTGAGCCAAGATTGCGCCACTGCATTCCAGCCTGGGCAACAAAGCGAGACACCATCTCAAAAAAAAAAAAAAAAAAAAAAAAAAAATTAGTAAATGCTTGTACCTAAATTTACTCTTTAAAATAATAGAAAATGTCCACATTTTATGCGACTTATGAAAGGATATAAGATGATTTTTTTCCTCAGAAACAAAAGCAGTTGAAGTTTAAAGCTATTGCTCATTTAGTATCTCAAAGTAATAGCCACTAAAGCCAACCTGTGAGCAGACAACTGACTTCTCAACTCTCTTTGCATAACTTTTAATTTCCTTTGCAATTGTCTTTGGTATTCAAGTGAGACATCTGTAATCACATTCTCATCAACAACTGAGATGCCTTAGGCCAGTGCGGGTGAGCCTCTCTTATTCTGGCTTGCAATACAACGGGAATTTCTCCCTTTCACTCTTGTTCCAGGGCATTTGCCTTCTCCCAATAAAGTCCAAGCACTCAAACAGAAAGTGAACTTTACTCTAGCTGGTTTTCTGGCCTTAGGAATAGGGTGAGGCCAGGTGCAGTGGGTCATGCCTGTAATCCCAGCACTTTGGGAGGCCGAAGTGGGCAGATCATGAGGTCAGGAGTTCAAGACCATCCTGGCTAACACGACGAAACCCCCGTCTCTACTAAAAACACAAAAAATTAGCCAGGCATGGTGGCATGTGCCTGTAGTCCCACTACTCAGGAGGCTGAGGCAGGAGAATCGCTTGAACCCAGGAGGTGGAGGTTGCAGTGAGCCAAGATCGCGTCACTGTACTCCAGCCTGGGCGACAGAGTGAGACTCCGTCACAAAAAAAAAAAAAAAAAAAGAAAGAATAAAAAGAATAAGGTGAACATGCCTTCTGATTTGCCCAGAACAGTCCTAGTTTAGGCATGCTCTTCTGGTGTCCTGTTTAGTCAGTATCTTTTTTCCTTCTCAAAGGGTTGGAGATAGACTATATGGTATTCCTAGTTAAGAACCATATAAACACATGAATAAATATTCTATTAATGAAGAATGTGCCTTCTAATACACTTTATCTAAAATATTATAACAGGATTAACAGGTAAAGGGAAACATTGCTCAGTTTTCCTGTTAAAATATTTAAATAACAATGAAATACTAACTGAAATAAGGTTGAATTTTGTCTAAAAACTATGATATACATTTGAGACTCTCAAGACTGAGGTAAGACTCAAATGAGGTAAGACAGAGAACCCATGTTTGACAACTAAGGGGGAAAAAAAGAGGATCATGGCTGCCAGGTCTGTGTAATGAAGCTATGAGACAATGGGATAAGAGTTTTTTGGATTCAGAATTAATAGAAAATGTCTCAGCCCAGATGTCATTTGTCCAATGTCACGCCTAAGGTCGAAGAAGAAATCCTCAAATTCCTAAAATATCACACTTCACCTCCCCATCCACGCCATGCAACATCAAGAGGCCAGAATTTGGCCACGCATAGTGGCTCAAGCTTGTAATTACAGTACTTTACTTTGGGAGGCTGAGGCAGACAGGTTGCTTCAGCTCAGTAGTTCGAGACCAGCCTAGGCAACATGGTAAGACTATGTCGCTACAAAAAATTAAAAAAAAAAATTGCTGGGTAGGGTGGTATGTGCCTGTAGTCCCAGCTACTCAGGAGGCTGAAGTGAAAGGATCACCTGAGCCTGGGAGGTCAAGGCTACAGTAAGCCGTGATTGTGCCACTGCACTCCAGCCTGGATGACAGAGTGAGACACTGTCTCTAAAAAAAAAAAAAAAAAAAAAAAAGTAAAAATAAAAAGGACTGAATTTAAGACTAGTAATCATGAACTCACAGGTAGGTGCCAGGGGTATGCCTGCCAACCCCTGTGCTTGCTTTCATCTCCACCCACCTCCCACAAAAGATGAAAAACAAAACAAACACAATCAAGAAAAATTAAAAAAAAAAAGAAAGAACTTTGCTACTTACGCCTTGACATTCCTTTGTGAAAAGTCATACTCAGCAAATAACAACTCCACTATCCCAATTCCCCAGGCCAAAAAACCTTGGCATCATCACTGATGTCTTTCTTTTTCCCCGTGCTCTACTTCCAATTTCTCATCAAATCCTTTTGGTCCTATCTTTAACGTTCATTCAGGGTTTGACCACTTTTCTCCACCTCCACCTGCTACTGCCTGGCTCAAATCACCATCCTTCTTCCACCACCATCCCCCTAGAAAACAGAGTTTACAAAAGGAACTTGCCCCAGGTCAGGAAGACTGCAGGTAGTGGAGGGAGTACTGGCATGTAGGAAATCAAACAGCAAAACATAAGTTCTTAACTACCACACTGACTCTCTGGTTTTTTGCCTTTGCACAATGTGGAGCTAGAATCCAAGTTAGAACACTGCCATTGAGTCATATGACATATGCTCCCAAAGCACTGATTTATCTAAAGAGGTATGAAAAGAATAAAACTTCAGCGTAAAGGAGCTTCCTTATCAAAGAATTCCCATAAGAAAGTTCATTATAACTTAATGATGGGGTAAATAACTGGTTTTTAAGACTTCTCTCCTTTTAAAAATTTATTTTTTATTCAGCTGGTAAGTACAAGAGAATTTTTTGAAATTTATTTTTTAAACTGTCATATTGTAATTGTACGTACTTATGGGGTACAATTTGATATATTTTTTTTTTTTTTGAGATGGAGTCTTGCTCTGTTGCCCAGGCTGGAGTGCGATGGCGCAATCTCAGCTCACTGCAACCTCTGCCTCCCAGGTTCAAGCAATTCTCCCGCCTCAGTCTCCCGAGTAGCTGGAATTACAGGCATGCACCACCACACCCAGCTAATTTTTGTATTTTTAGTAGAGACGGGGTTTCGCCATGTTGGCCAGGCTAGTCTTGAACTCCTGACCTCAGGTGATCCACCCACCTCAGACTCACAAAGTGCTGGAATTACCAGCATGAGCCACCGTGCTGGGCCACAATTCAATGTTTTGATACATATCCATGTTGCATAATGATCCAATCAGAGCAGTTAGTGTATCCATCACCTCCTGCATTTCTCACTTGTGAAAGAACATTCAAAAGCCCCTCTTCCAGCTATTTTGTAATAATATTTTACTCTTAACTATACTCACCCCACTGTGCAATAGAACACCAGAATTTGAGATCAGGAGTTTGAGACCAGCCTGGCTAACGTGGTGGACTAAAAATATGAAAATTAGCTGGGTGTGGTGGCACGCGCCTGTAATCCCAGCTACTTGGGAGGCTGAGGGAAAAGAATCATCTTGAATCCAGGAGGTGGAGGTTGCAGTGAGCCGAGACTATGCCATTGCACTCCAGCAATGGGCAACAAGAGCGAAACTCCATCTCAGAAAAAAAAAAAAAAAAACACCGAACACCAGAATTTATTTCTTCTAATTGTAACATTGGTTTATGTGTTATTATTGAGAAAGGATCTTGCTCTGTCTCCCATGCTGGAGTGCAGTGGCACGAACACAGTTCACTGCAGCCTCAACCTCCCAAGCTCAAGCAATCCTCCCACCTTAGCCACCTGAGTAGATAGGACTACAGGCCCATGCCACCATGCCCCCCTTTTTAAATTTTTTTTTTTGAGAGACAGGGTCTCACTATGTTGCCCAGGCTTGTCTCCAATTTCTGGGCTCAAGCGATCATCCTACCTTGACCTCCCAAAATGCTGGGATTACAAGTGTGAGTCACTGTGCCTCGCCTTTTTTTGGTTTTGTTTTGTTTTGAGACAGGATCTCCCGTCATGCTTTATCACCCTGGGTGGAATACAATTATGGCTTACCGCAGCCTTGACCTCCTGAGCTCAAACAATCCTCCCACCTCAGCCTCCCAAGTAAGTGGGATTACAGACAAGTGCCACCATGCCTGGCTAACTTTTTATATTTCTATTTTTTAATCTTTGTAAAGATAGGGGTATCACTATGTTGCCCAGGCTGGTCTCAAACTCCAGGCCTCAGCATCCCAAAGTGTTAGGATTACAGGCATGAGCCACCATGACTGGCACTAATTTTATTATTACATACCTAGGTATGATTATATTTGTTTATTCTATTTAGAGTTCACTGAGTTTCTTGGATCTGAGAGTTTATGGTTATCATCAGATTTGGAAAATTTATAGTCACTGTTTCTTTTTCTTTTTTAAGGAAATTGCCCAAGCTGGTCTTGAACTCCTGTGCTCAAAAAATCCTCTCATCTCAGCCTCTCAAAGTGCTGGGATTACAGGCATGAGCCACCATGATGAGCCACTATTTTCTTATTTTTTTCTTTTTTTTTTTTTTTTGAGATAGGTTCTCACTCTGTTGCCCAGGCTGTAGTGTAGTGGCATGATCTTGGCTTACTGCAACCTACATCTCCCTGGCTCAAGCAATTCTCATGCTTCAGCCTCCCAAGAAGCTGAGATTACAGTCGCATGCCACCAAGCCCAGCTAATTTTTGTATTTTTAGTAGAGAAGAGATTTCACCATGTTGGACAGGCTGGTCTCAAATTCCTGATCTCAAATGATCTGCACCCCTCTCGGCCCCCAAAGTGCTAGGATTACAAGTGTGAGCCACCCACCCGGCCACCCAGACACTATTTCCTAAAGTAATTGCTTTCTACCTTTCCCCACTTTTCTGGAACTCCAATTATACATGTATTAGGCAACTTGCTATTGTCCCACAGGTTACTGATGTTCTATTAACTTTGTTCTAGTATTTTTTTTCTCTTTGTGCTTCAATGTGAATAGGTTCTACTGCTATACCTTCACATTTAATGATCTTTTTTTCCACAGTGTCTAATCTGCTGTTAATCACATCCAGTTTTTCCCCCAGTTTTGGATATTATATCTGGTATTTTTCATCTTTAGATACTACTTGTGAGTCTTTTGGTTTTTTTTGAGACAAAGTCTCACTCTGTCACCCAGGTTGGAGTACAGTGGCATGTTCTCAGCTCACTGCAACCTCTGCCTCCCAGGTTCAAGCAATTCTCGTGCCTCAGCCTCCCAAGCTGGAATTACAGGCACATCCCACCACACCCAGCTAATTTTTGTATTTTTAGTAGAGACAGGGTTTTGCCATGTTGGGCAAGATGATCTGCCCACCCTCAAGTGTGTAGGCGTGAGTCACCATATCTGGCTTGTGTCTTTTTATCTATCATTCATTTCTCTACTAGTCATTATAATACTTGTATTAACATATTTGGCTGATAATTCAATCATCAGAATTATTTCTAATAATTCCACATTTCTAGGTCTCTTTTCTATTGATTTTTCTCCTGGTTATGGGTCATTTTCCTGCTTATTATTTGTATGCCTAGTAATCTTTCATTAATATATTATTAATGCTGAACATTTTAATTGTTAGGTGCTGGCTTTTACTGTATTCTTTAAAAGAGTTTAGTTTTGGCACATAATTGAGTTACTTAGAATCAGCCTGGTCCTTTCAAAACCTGCCTTGAAGCTTAGGGTAGGTTTAGAAAGGCCTTTAGTCTATAGCTAATTTAACCCCACTTTGAAGACTCTAGCCAATGTCCTTTGTATGAAACAGTCTCTCCACTATGCCTAATGGAAACATAAACTATTCCCAGCTCTGTGTGAGCTCCTGGAATTGTTCAGTGTTCTGATTTCCAGTGTGACTTTCTCCAGCACTGCTGACTTCCACACTTTGCATGTGCAGATGAGTGTCCAATCAAAGATTCTCTTACTTCTATAGATTTCTGTGTAGTTCCTTTTATTGTTTTCTGCCCCACAAATTCTAGTTGCCTTGACTTCTCCAAACTCTCCTGGGCTCTATTTGGATTCCCCTACTCTGTGCTACAATCTGGAAACTGCCTATAGGAACCCCTGTAGGGTTCATATCAGTTATTTCCCTTCTCTCAGGGATCACTATCCTGTGCTGCCTGTTGTCCAATGTCTGAAAACAGTTGTTTCATGTATTTTTGTCCTGTTTTCTAGCTGTTTACTGTAGGAGAATGATTCTTGTAGCAGTTAATCCCTCTTAGGCAGATGTACTGACTTTATGGTATCCCTGTTTGTGTTTTTAGTGCTTGTTCTAGAGATTACATATGCATCCAGAAGTTACTACAGTCTCCTTTCACAGAGTAAGAAATATATGACAGTATAATTCCATCTCCTCCTTTTTGTTCTTTCATGGTTGTATAATCACATATATGCTGTAAAACCCACATCTTGTTAATGTGTATGTTTTAATGTTTTTTGAGTCCAGGTCTGCTGGAAACAAATTCTTTCCCTTCTTGATATGTCCCAAAAGTCTTTATTTTGCCATTATTTTTGAAGGCTATTTCTGCTGGCCATAGAAATCTAGGTTAACAGGTTGTTTTTTTTTTTTTCTTTCAGCTCTTTATGGATGTCATCCCATTGTATTTAACATTCTATTTTTTCTTTTCTTTTCTTTCTTTGTTTTTGAGACTGAGTCTCGCTCTGTCGACAGGCTGGAGTGCAGTGGCGTGTGATCTCAGCTCACTGCAACCTCCACCTCCTGGGTTCAAGTGATTCTCCTGCCTCAGCCTCCCGAGTAGCTGGGACTACAGGTGTGCACCGCCACACCCGGCTAATTTTTGTATTTTTAGTAGAGACGCGGTTTTACCATGTTGGCCAGGATGGTCTCGACCTCTTGACCTTGTGATCTGCCCACCTCCCAAAGTTCTGAGATTACAGGTGTGAGCCACCATGCCTGGACTTCTTTTCTTTTTTAAATAGAGATGGGGTCTCACTACTTTACCCAGGCTGGACTCGAACTCCTGGGTTCAAGTATGTGCCACCATGCTCAGCTAAGACTCCATTTTTTTCTGGTCTGAAAACATGGATTAGCCATAACCCATGTTGCCATTCTCACATAACTAATGTGCCTTTATTCTCCTGTTGCTCTCCTGTTGCTTGTAAGATCTCTTCCATCTTCAATTTTCAGCAGTTTGATTATGATATGCCTATATATGGGATTTTTAAATTTGTTGGCTTATTTTTGTTTTGTATTTAACTTGCTTGGGATTTGCTGAACTTCTTCCATTTGTGAATTGATGACCTCATCAATTTTAGAAGTTCCTGAGCATTGTCTCTTCAAATATGTCTTCTGCCACATTCTCTTCTCTCCTTCTGAAACTCCAATTACATATATGTTAGACCATCTGATATTATCCCACAGATCTAAAATCTCTTTTCTACCCCTCCCTGACTTTTTCTGTCTTTTCTCTTTCCAATCTGTCTTCATATTCACTGATTCTTTCTTCTGCTATGTCCATAAACTGTTAAGCCCATGTAATGAATTCATTTCTGCTAGTATATTTTTCTTTCTCCCTTCCCTCCCCTCCCTTCCCTTTCCTTTTCTTTTCTTTCCTTTTTTTGTTTTCTCTGGTCTCTGCTAGTATATTTTTCACCTCTATTTAATGGAATTTCAACTTGGTTCTTTGGCATAATTTCCATGACTCTACAGAAATCCCCATCTTTTCAAGCATATTGTTAACCTTTATCATTCAATCATCCAGCATTTTTTTCATAATTATCTTTAAATCCCTGTCTGATAATTCTGATAAATCTGGATCATCTCTGGGTCTTCTTCTACTGACTATTTCTTCTCTTGACCTTTGGTCACATTTTCTTGCTTTTCTTGTGTCTTGTAACTTTTTATTACACACCAGACATTTTATATAAAAATAGATTACTTATTAAATTAAGTAATATTTTACTTCCAGAAAAAGACACGACAATTTTTCTGTTAGGACACTAGAAGGGAGTCTGAGTCAATCCAATATGTAACTGAGCTGGGTGTGGGCTATGATGCAGCTGTAATTTGACAGTTAATCACTGGCTTCAAATATTTAAGGACTGAGATCAAGTCCTTCACTTGAGCAGGTCTGGGATCTGAGCCTAGGTAAAATTACAGAGACCTGCTTGTGTTTCATAGCCAAGCCACCAATTTTTAAAACTGTGGGAGTACCTTACATGTATGCTAGAGTAGAATGATTAAGTAAATGGGTGGCTGATGGTAGGAGACAGATTTCTCACTATTGGAGCAGGAGTTTTTAGATAAGCAAGGGCAGGAAGTTAGAATCATCCATGTAGTGATTCAACTGGAACCGAATACATCAATATAAACTCATGTTTAGCTTAATTAGATACAGATGGATACATATAGAAATATTTATAGATATGTGGATATATACAGGGTAGTATAAATACATACATTTTCTGGCTCTGTCAGCTGAGATGGCCTACAAGCAACAACACCCCAGTAGCAACATGTGCACCTAGCACCTAGATCTTGGTTTCTCCATTCTCCAGTAAAAGGAACCAAGGCTCCATGGAGAAATGGCTAATTCTAGGATTGAGACAGAAAAATATACTAGATAAAGCATATACTAAAGCATATACTACATGCTTTAGTCTCTAAATATACTAGCGCATCTTGTAGTGCCAGAAAGTGAGAAAGTGCAAACACACATACACACACATACACTGACAGTGGTATATCAAAAAGTCATACCAACTGAAAGAGCTCCCAGTGGCCAAAGCTGGAACAACTTGACCAATAAAATAAATAAAGCAATAATAAGATTTTAACCCAAGGTATAAAATATCCATAAGTCCATACTAATATTTAAAAAATTGAATGGATAAATAAATGAGGAAGAAGAGACAAATCTCCCATGCAGAAGAAATCTAAATAATTTATATAGACACTTTGCCCTTGAGGAGGGGTATCATAACTCCCCATGCCTTAAGTGTAGGCTGCGCATATGTAACTTCCTTCCAAAGAGTACAGTATGTAAACAGAGGAGAAAAAAGAGTAACTTTGTAGTAAAGAAATACACAAACACTACCTCAACCAGATGATCAAGGTCAATAGCAACACCGATTAGTCATATTGACAGTATGTCCCCTTAATATGATGTGATGAAAATGGTACTGCCAAGCATAGTGGCACATGTCTGTAGTCCCAACTACTTGGGAGGCTGAAGTGGGAGGATTGCATGAGCCTAGGAGTTCAAGACCAGCCTAGGCAATACAGTGAGACTCTGTCTCTATTAAAAAAAAAAAAAAAAAAAATTAGCCAGGTGTGGTGGCATGCATCTGTAGTCCCAGCTACTCAGGAAGCTAAGGAGGGTGGATCGCGTTGAGCCCAGGAGTTCAAGGCTGCAGTGAGCTGTCATCATACCACTGCACTCCAGCCTGGGTGACAGAGTGAGACACTGTCTCAAAAAAAGGAAAGAAAATTGTACTTAACCTGCATGTTCTTCGTCCCAAAAATATAAAACCTCACTGTAACAATGACAAAAATACCAAACAGATATCAATAGAAGGACATTCTACAAAATACCTGAACAATACTCCTCAAAACTGTCAAAGTTATCAAAAACAAGAGATGAGAAGCTCAAGTCTAAGAAAATGCCAAAACCAAGAGGACCCTAAGGAGATGTGACAGCTAAATGGGATCCCAAAACATTAGGTAAATAAAGTATGGACTTTAGTTAATGAAAATATATCAGTATTAGTTCATTAATTATAACAAATATACCATACTAATATAAGGTGTTAAAAATAGGAAAAACTAAAAAAAAAATAAATTAAATAAAAATAGGAAAAACTAGAGGCAGCATCTATGGGAACTCTCTATACTATCTTGGCAATTTTTCTTTAAATCTGAAACTATTTCAAAAATTCAAGTTTATATTTTAAAAAAGAAAGAAAAAAAAACTGTAGGAGCTCTATCTCTGCATTAAGCACGACGGTCAGAGTTTGGTTTGCTAGATTCTCCTTGCTCTCCAGTCGCACACCTTGCTTTCTGAAGCTCAGGTGCCCTCGTGCAGCCCTGCTCCTCCTCTCCAGCCAGCCTTCTGGAGGCCAGCTTCCTTACATTCTGTGAAGGCCTGAAATGAATTAGAGCAGTTTCACTCACCTCTTCTGCCCTGTCCCCAGTCCTTGGTGGCTGAAAACATGGACTGCCAGAGTGTGGGGTGAGAGTTATCTCTAGCTCTTCCCCTGCCTGCAGCATTCCAGAACTGAAAGCCTGGAGTGCCTCTGCTGGATTTCTCTCAGCAATCCTGCCTTCTAAGGGTGGTTGCCCTATACCTGGGAGAGGTTCCAAATGCCTCAGGTATTATCTATGCCAGTTCGTCACTGGCCCAGGCTTTTGGCTTACTACTCCTGAACATTCAGTGAACATCTGTGGGTAGGAGCTGGAGTGTGGGTGCATACTTGCTCTTTGGTGCTAGAGTTGCTAGGGCTTCTCAGGATCCTAACCTGTCAAACCAGCCCATACGTGGCCATTAAAAATCTGATTTAAAAAAATGTGGCTGGTTTCTCCTTTCCCCTCATCTATGGTGGATTCCTATTCCTTTGGTTGTTCCATCCTAGAGCAACCACGGGTTTCTTCTCTACTACGAAAGTTTGATTACTTTCTGGAGTTTGGTTCATTTAGGTTCCCTTGTATCCTCAGCTCTTAGATGGGTTTTTAGAAACCGTACTTCTTATCCTGCTTTTATAGGTTTTCAGTTACAAGAATGGCAATATCTTATAATTTTGTACATCTGAAGAGGAAGCTGAATTCTTTCCCCAGACCTCAAATGGTTCACTCCCTCAGTACATTAAGATCTCTGCTCAAAAGTCATCTTTTCAAAGCAGTTTCCTGTATTACACTATCTAAAGATTGACCAGCTCTCAGTCACCCTTCATGCCTTCATCCTGCTCTACTCTTCTTCCATTGTCCTCATTTCCATCTGAAATGTATTTGTCTCATTGTTTAACTGTCTCCTCCACAAGGGCAGGAATTTTATTTTTCTTATTTGTCAGTATAGCCCCAGCTATAAAACAATGATAGGGAGCAAATATGATTCTTTATAAATTATAAGTTTAAGCTTGCTTTAAAACTAATTAACTAAACAGAAAGTTATTGTTGCATATTATAAAAGAAAAAGTACTTTTATGGGAGATAAGAAGTTTTGAAGCTTACCAAAAAAGAACCTGTGTGATCAGTTCCATTCTGTCCTTAGACAACATATTATTCTTTAACATATATACTTTTTCCAGCTATATCGTTCTGTGTACACTTCGTGCTTCCTGAGATCCTGCTATCAACCCAGGTTCTAAGCAGGAATTACAGATATTCTTCACAATAGAATAAGACAATTAACAATTGTTCTTAATGAATGGTAAAAAGAACAATATTCATTACTTGCTAATTATTACTCATCTTTTTTTGAAAATGACCCAAATGGCATCTGGAAACAGCATAACACTAAAAATTAGACTGCAGTAGAAAACAAGAACAATGTTTTGATGATTAAACATAATAGAAAGGACTGTAGAAGGAGAACAGAAATAAGTAAGAAGGAAAAATTTAGATATTGCAGAAGTGATACAGTAAATCGTAGGATTTCAAAGATATTAATTAAATACCTCAGAGTAATCAAGAGGCCTAAAGCACAAGCTAACTAGTCTTTTAAAAGAAACCAATTGGGCACGGTGGCTCACAAAATAAAAAAAATAAAAGAAGCAAAACACTAAAAAAATTAAAATTAATTAAAAATTATTTTTTTTCCATTGCTAGAGACTTTCTGTCTAGATATCAGCGACAAAACTCCACATAAAGCAATATAGTTAAGAAAGACTACTTTGGAATCAGATCTTAATGTTAATCTCAGCTTCATCATTTGCCAACTATGTGACCTTTGGCAAGTTAACCTTCCAAAACAGCATGTAAGGTTTTAGGGACCATTGAGCCCTTCAACAAATATGTGAGTACTCATTCAGGACACAACAATGAATAAGATTAACGAAAATAATTCATGAAAAAAACTTAGAACACATCTGGTACCCAATAAAAGCTCAATAAAATACTATAACAATTATTATCTCAAATATTAGATAGGATTCTATACCCCCACTTAATGCAGAAATATAGTCGTTTTGTTTTGTTTTGTTTCGTTTTGTTTTTGAGACAGGGTCTTGTCCTGTTGCCCAGGCTGGAGTGCAGTGCTACGATCTCGGCTCACCACAGCCTTGACCTCCTGGGCTCAAGCTATCCTCCCACCTCAGACTCGCAAGTAGCTAGGAGTACAGGCACGCACCACCAAGCCTGGTTAATTTTTCATTTTTTGTAGAGATGGGGTTTCACCATGTTGCCCTGGCTGGTCTCAAACTCCTGAGCTCAAGTGATCCATCCACCTAAGCCTCCCAAAGTGCTGGGATTATAGATGTGAGCCACTGCACCTGGCAAAATATAATCTTTAATATTAATAACAACAAATACATTATCATGGATAAAAATAGCTTTTTGACTGTAGTTATTTGTGTAACTAACTTCACTTCTGCTGGGACCATATTTTGGAAGCAGGCCAACTTCCCTTTCTGTCTTAAGTAATTTCTTATCAGTCCTTTATAACCCTTGTGTCATAATACCATTTACTGGGGGAGAGGAGAGCACCTAAAATATAATCCTTCCAAATAACCTGGTAAATAAACACAAATGACACCAATTCTGACATCATTACATCACAACCATAGAATATAGATGAGTTCAAGGATCAAAAATAAAAAAGTAAAAAACATCTAGAGGCAAAAGATTTGAAAATCATGTATCTAAATTTGAAAATCATGTCTAGTACCCAGAATGTATAAAGAACTCTTACAACTCTACAACACAAAGACAACACAATTTAAAGTGGGCAAAGGACTTAAACAGACATTCCTCCAAAGAAGATATACAAATGGCCAACAAGCACATGAAAAAAGGCTCAATGTCATTAGTTACTGGGGAAATGCAAATCAAAACAAAAAGATACCACTTTACACCCACTAGAATGACTACAATAAAAATTTTTTAATGGAAAACAGTGTCGGCAAAAATGTGGAGAAATTGGGACACTTGTGTATTGCTAATAGGAATATAAAATGGTACAGTCACTGAGGAAAACAGATTGGCAGTTCCTCATTAAGTTAAAGACAGAATTACCATATATGATCCCGCAATTCCACACCGAGGTATATACCCAAAAGAATAAAAACAAATGTTCACCCCAAAAAATTGTACATCAGTGTTCATAACAGCACTATTTACAATAGCCAGAAAAAGCAGAAACAACCCAAAAGTTCATCAACTGATGAACAGATAAACAAAATGTGATATATCCACACAATGAAAATTATTCAGCCATAAAAAAGAAGGAAGCAGTGATCTATGCTATACCATAGATGAACCACAAAAATATTATGGTAAATGAAAACATGTGACAAAAGGCCGCATACTGAATGACTTCATTTATATGAAATATCCACAAAAGGCAAATCCATAGAAACAAAAAGCACATTCGTGGCTTCCAGGGGCTGAGGGAGGGAGGGAATGGGGAGTGACTGCTTAATGAGTATGGGGTTTCTTTTTGGTGTGATAGAAAAGTTCTAGAACTAGAAAGTAGTGATGGCTGTAAAACATTGTGAATGTACTTAATGTCACTGAACTGTATACTTATAAATAATAAATTTTATGTATATTTTACCACAACAAAAAAGATGCTTAACAAAAAAAAAATTAGAAATAAGTTCTGGGTAAAGAGAAGATGGAACATACATATATTTAACTTCATTTCTTCCCCAAATTGTGCTAAAATACTAATAAGGTTTTTGGGGGGTTTTTGTTTTTGTTTTTGAGATGGGGTCTCATTCTGTCACCCAGGATGGAGTACAGTGACATGATCTCAGCACGCTGCAACCTCCACATCCCAGGCTCACGCGATCCTCCCACCTCAAACTCCCAAGTAGCTGGGACCACAGGCGTGCACCACCACACTGGGTTAATTTTTCTATAGTAGAGATGGGGTTTTGCTATGTTGCCCAGGCTTCTCTCAAACTCCCAGACGCAAGGAGTCTACCTGCCTCGACCTCCCAAAATTCTGGGATTACAGGCCTGAGCCACCACGCCTGGCCCTCATCAGGTATTTTTAAGGCATAAACAAAATTTAAAAGCTAGAAAGCAAATGCATAAATGGTAACTGACATAGCAGATCCAAGAAACCAGCAGTATGGAAAGCCAAAAACCAACCTTCGTCCACAGAATCCTCAAAAGGCTCAGGAACTGGTAACAGATAGCGCCTGTAGAAACAGGTGTGAAGGGAGCACTAAATAAAGAAGGCTGGCTGAAAGCTCCTTAGGAAACGCTCAATCTCTCAGTACCTTCCTAAATACCACATGGTTAGGTTACTACGCTTTTCCCACCAAGGCAAAATTCTAGAGGATTATTCCCTCAGGAGGATTTCAGAGCAGGGAAACATAAAGCACATTGGTGCGGGGGAGGCTTAATGAAAACAGAAGCCTTAAGAAAACACATATGTACTGAATACTGAAATCCTCACTGCCCTACTTCCCTCACTCTCCCACAGAAGTGGCATACAGACCTCCTCCCACCAGACAGGAAATTAAAAGACCTCTCCCTTTTCAGAAAAGGGAAAAGTAATCAGAAGCTGACATGAAGGGTGCCCCAGCAAATGACACAGATAGATCACCCCAGAGTGAACTCTACTCAACAAGTACCAATGAGGTACTAAGAGCTTCCAATCAGCTTTTAGAGGCATAACTGCAAATAGTCAAGGATTACCACTCATCTGAGGAAAGCATCTACCACAAAAAGAAAACAAAGGAAAACAAAAAATAGAAAAGGAACTTGGAGGAAACACGGACAACTGTGGGAAGAAAAAAACTTAAAATTTAAAAAGAATTTTATTAGCAGGAATTTCTGATGTCAATAAAAAAATAAATAAATAAAAGGAATTTTATACCCCATCATTAGTGTCCATGGAAAGAATACAGAAGATACTACACTGTAATCCCAGAATTTTAGGAGGCTGAGGCAAGAGAAATGCTTGGCGCTTAAGAGTTCGAGACCAGTCTGGGCAACACAGCGAGACCTTGTCTACTAAAAATCAAAAAAGTTAGCTAGGTTTGGCGGTGCAGGCCTGTAGTACCAGCTACTGGGAGGGCTAGGGCAGGAGGATCGCTTGAGCCTGAGCAATCAAAGCTGTAGTGAGCCACGACAGAGCAAGACCCTGTGTCAAAAGAGTAGATACTCCATCCATGAAAAAAAATCGATACTTTTCCAAAGAGCCCTTGGAAATTAAACTTAGGAAAATTTATCAGAAAGAATAAGGAATCAAAGAGATGGCAACAGAATAAAGAAGAAAAAACTGGAGGTCCAGTCAAGATAATTCAGCATCTATGCAATGGGGAATCCACGGGAGAAAACAGAGAGGAAAAAAAATCAGTGAAATAATTCAAGAAAATGTCCCAAAACTAAACAATGTAAGTTTCCTAACTGAAAACACTGAGTGAAGCCAGGCACGGTGGCTAACGCCCATAATCCCAGCACTTTGGGAGGCCGAAGTGAGTGGATCACTTGAGGTCAGGAGTTCAAGACCAGCCTGCCCAACATGGTGAAACCCCGTCCCTACTAAAAATACAAAAAAATTAGCCAGTCGTGGTGGTACACCTGTAATCTCAGCTACTCGGGAAGCTGAGGCATGAGAATGGCTTGAACCCAGTAGGCGGAGGTTGCAGTGAACCGAGATCGCACCACTGCACTCCAGCCTGGGCAACAGAGTGATACTCTGTCTCAAAAAAACAAAACAAAACAAAACAAAAAAACAAAAATTGGCTTGGCGTGGTGATGCACGCCTGTAATTCCAGCTACTGGGTAGGCTGAGGCACCAGAATCACCTGAACCCAGGAGGCGGAGGTTGTTGCAGTGCGCCAAGATCATGCCACTGCACTCCAGCCTGGGCGAGAGTGGGATTCCGTCTCAAAAAACAAACAAAAACAATAAATTTAAAAATACATAAATAAATTTAAAAATTAAAAAACAAAAACAACAACAAAAAAACACTGAGTGCAGAGCATAATTGTTTAAAATACAGTACAACCATATTAAAGCATATCATTTACAAGTTTCAGAACAGTGGAAACAAAGGGAAGATCCTACAAGCTTCCAGAAGAGGGAAATAGCTAACAATAGATAAGCTTCCAGAATGATTTTGTACTTTCAACAGGCATAACACAAGCTAGAAGACAATGGAGCAAAATCATCAATCTCAATGTTACATACAGTGAAACCACTAATGAAGGGTGAGAGGAAAATAAAGTGTTTTCAAAAAACATAAGGTATCAAATATTTGCCTCCCATGAAACAGGAAGACATAAGAGGAGAAGAAACAGAAGTGCCAATGCAGGAGAAAAGAAAAGAGAATTCCAAGGATAATTGCTGGGCACTATGAGAAAACAGAGACTACTCCATGTTGGAGCACTGTGCTCTGGAAAAGGCTTCTTCAAGATGATGAAACTGACAAAGTAAGTGAAGGAAATGGGAAATTTGAAAGAAAATGGGAAATTTGGACAACTGATAGAATGTTTAGTTTGAGTTAGTCACAAGGACACAGCAAATCATGCAAATAATTTATGTTCTAACCTGAAAATTCAAGTAAATCAATTTTTTAAATGTTTCTTGAAAAACCACAGGTAAATTCCAAATACCTATGAGTTGAGGATGGTTACCTATGAGAGGAGGAAATGAAGGTGGAAGCTGAGAATTACTGTTTGTTTTAACAATCCCTGAAAGACCACTTGACTCATTAAACTGTATAACATTTGAGGGGAAAAAAAATTAAGGTTAAAAAATATGGAATATGGGAAATAAGGTACTGAGGATTTCCCAAGGACATAAAACCCAAACAAACCTGACCCCTGGAAACTAAATCTTACAAAATTGCCCTGTAAAAGAAAAACATAAAAATGAATTAGAGGGAAAAAGAAGGAACATTACTTGCACGACATCATAACTCCAGCCAAATGCATGACACTGACGGCAGAAATCCTTGGGTTTCTGTGCTTCTGCTCCCTGGTCTGTCAAGTGGGTGTAATAACCACAGCATTCCTCTCTTAGGACTGTTGTAAAGCTTAAGTGAGATAATGCACATAAAACACTTATAGCAACGCTGGCTGTCAGTATTAACACAGTTGTGTTTTTTCTAATAACTGAGATCCTTTTTCATATCAAATAATTTCACTGTCACAATGATCTTGAAATGTTTATTTGAATACTTACCTTGTCTACCCAAACATTCAAGGCCTCTAATGCTCTCACATAAGCCTCCCAACAAAAAAGTGGGAGGCGGGGGGTGGCAGACGGGGTGGGGGGGGGCGGGTAAGAGGGACAAAAAACATTCTGATGATCCATATCCAAGAGAAATAGGAAAAACAACTAGTAAAGAATTAGTGAAAGTTATTTCTAAAGATTCTTGTTCTACTGAAGAACTGACTGTACCTAAAAACTACTCAGTAGTTTTTATACTTTTTAGTTGCCGTAATCAATCTTTCACTCTCACTAGGCAAGTTAGCAATTAAAAGTGAAAACTTTCTACCAGCTATACATTAACTTAGTAATGCTAGGACAAGCATTTTTCCATTTCACAATAGGTAGCCTCCAACTTATGCACAGATTGTGCTCTCCAAATTGAGTTATACTTTGTTATAAAACTTGTGAAACGTTTCCTCAAAGAAATAAAATTATGAAATAAAGTTGGGATCCCAGGCAATAAACAAAGGGCAATTTAATCCATAGAGTAGAACAATTTATTCCTAAGAGCCATGGAAAAGGAAAGGAATAAATGTAACTGTGTCAGATGACTTTCAACCACTTATTTTGTGCTCCCCACAGCTAGTAAAAAAAATAGCATTTATGTGAGATTAGGAATTGTGTAATACTTTGTTCTCTTCATCTTTGTATTCTGGTAACACCAACAGCATATAACACAGTACCTGCCTTCTATCAGGAGCTTAAAATATTCATTTAAGGAATAATAATGAGTAAGAATATATAGCACTGTTCAAACCATACTGTTTCAATGGAGAAATACATTATGATTTCCAACTGAAAGAATGTCTTCCTTTATCTTAGCAGGACAACTAAAGTTTAAGCACCAAGAACAATAAAGTGTACGCAGCTATTCCACGGATGTAACAATCATTCCTCCTAGAAATCATATTTTGGTCACACATCACTCAGACTATTTCTAAGTATGTATAAATCATGAAGTTGAGTTTTAATAATATAAAACTTGACCTCCATAATGTCCCTGACTTCTTTTCCTTTACTAATACCTTAAATAAAAATAGCAGCCATCAACATTTTACCTGGGGTTTTTTTTTAATTTGCAGTTTCTATACTACTTCTAGTTAGTACAGAAGGTTATCAACTGCAAACTTAATACTATGGCCAAAAAAACAAAATCAAAAAAGTCATTAAGACTCAATATTCAGACAATAATCTTGATTAAAACCCAGTATTGCTCAACTGGGTGTGGTGGCTCATACCTGTAATCCCAGCACTTTGGGAGGCCAAGGTGGGAGGACTGCTTGAGCCTAGGAGTTCGAAACCAGCCTAGGTGACATAGCAAAATTCCATCCCTACAAAAAAATTTAAAAATTAGCCAGGCATGGTGGTGCACACCTTTAGTCCCAACTACTTGGGAGGCTGGGTTGGGAGGACCACACGAGCCCAGAAGGTCAAGGCTGCAGTGAGCCATGATTGTGCCAATGTACTCCAGTCTGGGTGACAAAGTAAGGCTGCCTCAAAAATAAGCAACAACAAAAAAACCCAATATTCCTCTGGCTCGAATGCAGCTACCTATATTTAGATATTCCCAAAGTGAAGTTGACAAAGTTATCCAACACAATAACAGAAATTATTTTAGGTACCAAAAAAATTGCAAAAATTACTGAGAATTATTATTATTATTATTTTGAGACAGAGTCTCACTCTTGTAGCCCAGGCTGGAGTGCAGTGGCGTGATCTCGGCTCATTGCAACCTCCGCCTCCCGGGTTCAAGCGATTCTCCTGCCTCAGCCTCCCGAGTAGTTGGGATTACAGGCACCCGCCACCACGCCCAGCTAATTTTTGTATTTTTATTTTTATTGTTTATTTATTTATTTTTGAAATGGAGTTTCACTCTTGTCACCCAGGCTGGAGTGCAATGGCGCATTCTCAACTCACTGCAACCTCCACCTCTTGGGTTCAAGCAATTCTCCTGCCTCAGCCTCCCCAGTAGCTGGGATGACAGGCACCCGCCACCACGCCCGGCTCATTTTTTTGTATTTTCAGTAGAGACGGGGTTTCACCCTGTTGGCCAGGCTGGTCTCCAACTCCTGACCTCAGGTGATCTGCCGCCTTGGCCTCCCAGAGTGCTAGGATTACAGGCGTCAGCCACCACACCCAGCCAATTACTGAGAATTATAAGTTAAAATTACAGAATTTAGTAGACAATGTAGTCAATGTCCACAATGATACTGATATCTTAAAACCTGAGAAATTCACCTAACAAAAGAAGTCCCTTAATTTTACATTACTCTAAAAAAAAATTTGATCCCTTTAATATATACCTAAGGGAATAAAGATTAAAGGAATAAAGATTAATTTGTCCTAGAGAGCCAGAGTTCACTTCAAGCTTTAAGGAATAATTCATAATCATCCAAACATAAAATTCAGATGGACACCTTAAATGAGATATGAGTTTCATCTAGCATCAGAAATTACTCCAAAGGCATTATTTCTCTTAAGCACCCCTTCTGCTTTGAAATTCAATACTGCCAATGAAACCAATTAATTTAATTTCTTTGTAATGACTTCATAGGACAGGCATGGTGGCTCACACCTGAAATCCTAACACTTTGGGAGGCCGAGGCAGGAGGATCACCTGAACCCAGGAGTTAGAGACCAGCCTGCCAACATAGTGAGACCCTGTCTCTACAAAAAATAAAAAACAAGCTGGGCATAGTGGCATGCACCTGTAGTTTCAGCTACTCAGGAGGCTGAGGTAGGAGGATCAATTGAGCCCAGGAGGTTCAGGCTGCCGTGAGCCATGATGATGTCATTGCACTCAGCCTAGTCAATGGAGCAAGATTCTGTCTCAAAAAAAAAAAAAAAAACAATTTTTTTAACTATAATGACTTTATCTCATGCAAATTTACAAAGGGTGTATAAATATTTGTTAAAACAAATGTAAGAAGTTGAGTTGATAATCACCAGTGAGCGACAGCAGCAGAGACACATGGTCATCAGTGAAGGAGACAGAAACATCTCTAAACCACCCAAAACAATTAACGTGGTATCTTCCACATAGACTTTTTTCTTTTTTTTGAGATAGGGTCTCATTCTGTTACCCAGGCTGGAGTGCAGTGGTGCGATCACAGCTCACTGCAGCCTCAACCTCCTGGGCTCAAGTGATCCTCCTGCCTCAGCATCCCAAGTAGTTGGGACCAAAGGTGCGCCTCACCATGCCCAGCTGATTTTTGTATTTTTTGTAGAGACAGGGTCTCACCATGTTTCCCAGGCTGGTCTTAAGCCCCTGGGCTCAAGCAATCACCTGCCTCAGCCTCCCAAAGTGCTGGGATTACAGGCATGAGCCACTGTGTATAGCCTCACATAGATTAAGTGAGGTCACTGTATGTGAGGTCATTGTATAATATTTTTCAAAAATGTTATTTTACATCCAAGAAATTATAAATACAATTAGTTATATCTACTCCTGTCACTTTAAACTTTATTATATCAATTTTTATTCACAAAAACATGCATTATTTCAGACATTATAATTAATGAAACAATTTTTATTCATTTGCTTTAAGTTCATTTCAAATCCAAGATTCATATTATAAAACCACTCTCCCTCCCTGAACTACACATCTCTAGTTAAATTTAGATTCAATAATGTTTTCCATGGAAATAACAAAACTCTAGTCCTCTGTATTAGTAAACTGTGTAATAAAATAGGAAATTTACTAAGGAAGAGCAAAGCAGGAGCCCTGTATGTCACTTTTAGATAACTATCCTCAAACTAAACACTTTCAATTCCAAGCATATTTCAAAGTTTTAGGAGAAGCAGGTGGATGGAGTAAGGAGATCGTGAGAACTCACTCACTACTGCGAGGACAACACTATGCCATGAGGGATCTGCCTCATGACCCAAACACCTCTCAACAGACCCCACCTCAAACACTGGGAATTACAATTCAACATAAGATTTGGTGGAGACATATATACAAGCTCTATTAGGGTGACAGCAAAACTCTGGAACTAGATAATGGTGATGGTTGCATAACAATGCGAATGTACTTAATGCAACTGAGACTTTCATGCTGTGTAAATATAGAACTCAATCAATAAAAGAAACAGTACACCAGCCTGGCCAACAACTGCTAAAAATGCAAAACTTAGCGAGGCATGCACACCTGTAGTTCCAGCTACCCTGGAGGCTGAGGTGAAAGAATTGCTTGAACCTGGGAGGTGAAGGTTGCAGTGACCCGAGATCATGCCACTGTACTCCAGCCTGGGTGATAGAGTGAGACCCTCACTTAGAAAAAAAAGAAAAAAGAAACAATAGCACTATATAACAGAAAGTAGACATTGACATCTCATTGAAGAAAGTCACCTTCTAAAATAAATGTTGATTATTTTGGTATCCCTTTAAAAATCTTATTGGGACTCATGCCTGTAATCTCAGCATTTTGGGAGGCCAAGGCAGGCCTTGAGGTCAGGAGTTCGAGACCAGCCTAGCCAACATGGTGAAACTCCGTCTCTACTAAAAATACCAAAAAAAGGCCAGGTGCAGTGGCTCATGCCTGTAATCCCAGCACTTTGGGAGGCCAAGGCGGGTGGATCACAAGTTCAGGAGTTTGAGACCATCCTGGCCAACATGGTGAAACCCCATCTTTACTAAAAATATAAAAAATTAGCCGAGCGTGGTGGCAGGTGCCTGTAGTCCCAGCTACTCGGGAGGCTGAGGCAGGAGAATGGCGTGAACCCGGGAGGCACAGCTTGCAGTGAGCCAAGATCAAGCCACTGCACTCCAGCCTGGGCGACAGAGCGAGACTCCGTCTCAAAAAATAAAATAAAAATAAACAAAAATAAATAAATAAAAACACCTTATTGTTAACTTGATAAGTAAATTATAAACATGTCAAAATGAAATCTTTTACTATAGTGTCAATCCTTGAGCTTTTCTATTTATTAGGAATTCTCATAACACTCTTAGCACCAGCTTTCCAACGCTTAGTCTGCCAGGGCAGGAATCAATTTTATATAGTGTTGGGTGTCCAAGGGAGATAATACAGTCCTGGGTTCTTAGTTTCTATTTCTGGTTGGGCCAGTAAAGCCCCTTCCTCATCCCTCCTTTCCACTTATCACTACAGACAGAAACTAAAAACCATGGCTTCAGGCTGCTAAAAGCATACAATAAAACAAAATCAAACAACAACAAAATAAAAGGAAGGATGGACAGGCTAGGAAGTGAATTTTAAAATGGGCAGAATATTTGATTAAATTTAGCTTGCCAATATTGTGTTAAATTTTAATACAGGAGAGTAACATATTTATTTCTAATAAACAAGATCAGCAAAAGATGAAAAACTTTTTAGATACCTTGGTCTGCTGTAGCACTTGGGAATCATGAATCTCTCTTGTGGCACTCATGAATGTAGCCTTTTTTTTTTTTTTTTTTTTTGACAGTCAGTGGAGAAAGACAACATGGAAAAAAAAAACCAGCCACGCCAAATGCAATAACAAGCCCATCAATTTCTGTTACCTCAAATGCAATAGAAAATACCACTTTTGGCCAGGTTCAGTGGCTCACGCCTGTAATCCCAGAACTTTGGGAGACCAAGGCAGGCGGATCACTGTAGGTCAGGAGTTCAAGACCAGCCTGGCCAACATGGCGAAACCCCATCTCTACAAAAAATACAAAAATTAGCCAGGCATGGTGACATATACCTGTGATCCCAGCTACTTGGGAGGCTGAGGTGGAAGAATCGCTTGAACCTAGGAGGCGGAGGATGCAGTGAGCCGAGATCACACCACTGTACTCCAGTCTGGCCATCAGGACGAGACTATCTCAATTAAAAAAAAAAAAAAAAAAGAAAGAAAGAAAATACCACTTTTGCTGAACCTGATTACAGGCAAAGCCAAATTCAGTCACTTGCATAATAATATGCCCAACATTCGTTCACAATGTTCCTGCCTGCTCTTAACGGGCTTTGAGTAGAGCAGGCTCTCAAAAGCCATGAATTATATGAATTATCAAATTAAACAACAGTTTCCACTTAAAATAATAACATTTATTTTGGAAATATACAAACCAGACAATGAACTAGATGTTTTACACATACTATTACTCACTTTAGCCTCATAATATTTATGGATAGGTTAAGCAGCTTGCCTAAGGTCACAACACTATTACATTCAAAAGCCAGGATTCAGGCCGGGCTTGGTGGCTCTCACCTGTAATCCCAACACTGTGAGGCCGAGGCTGGTGGATCACTTAAGCCCAGGAGTTTGAGACCAGCCTGGGCAACATGGTGAAACTCTGTCTCTACTAAAAATAGAAAAATTAGCTAGGCATAGTGGAGCACACCTCTACTCCCAGCTACTCAGGTGGCTCAGGTGGGAGAATCACCTGAGCCTGGGAGGCGGAGGTTGCAGTGAGCAGAGATCACATCACTGCACCCCAGCCTGGGCCACAGAGTAAGACCCTGTCTCAAAAAATAAAAAATTAAAATTAAAAAGCCAGGATTTAAACCAAGGTATGTCATACATAAAATCATTTTTTGCTAAAACACTCTTTTTTTTTTGAGACAGAGTTTCGCTCTTGTTGCCCAGGCTGGAGTGCAATGGCGCAATGTCGGCTCACCGCAACCTCTGCCTCCCGGGTTCAAGCAATTCTCCTGCCTCAGCCTCCCAAGTAGCTGGGATTACAGGTATGCACCACCACACCCAGCTAATTTTGTATTTTTAGTAGAGACAGGGTTTCTCCATATTGAGGCTGGTCTCGAACTCCTGACCTCAGGTGATCCGCCCACCTCGGCCTCCCAAAGTGCTGGGATTACAGGCGTGAGCCACCGCACCCGGCCTAAAACACTCAAGTGTGGGCTGCAAAGGAAATATTTTCAGTTTACTTCGCAAACATTAATATTCTCTCTTCAATACAGCTTTTAAATGTTAAGGAATGAGAAAGAAGAACGTACTTGAAAAGAATATTACTGAAAAATGCAGTGAGATGTCTGGAAGAAACATGCAATGGCTGTGTGCCTACTATGTGCCACATGCTGTGCTGGCTATATTAAAAACTTCAACACGGCCGGGCGCGGTGGTTCACGCCTGTAATCCCAGCACTTTGGGAGGCCGAGGCGGGCAGATCACGAGGTCAGGAGATCGAGACCATCCTAGCTAACACGGTGAAACCCTGTCTCTACTAAAAATAGAAAAAATCAGCCGGGCGTGGTGGCGGGCACCTGTATTCCCAGCTACTCGGGAGGCTGAGGCAGGAGAATGGCATGAACCTGGGAGGCGGAGCTTGCAGTGAGCCGAGATCATGCCACTGCACTCCAGCCTGGGCGATAGAGCAAGACTCTGTCTCAAAAAAATAAATAAATAAATAAATAAATAAATAAATACCTCAACACTTCACTGTTACAGCAGCCTTGGGAGGGAAATATTGGTAATCTCTTTTACATATGAAGAAACTGAAACGTAGACAAACCTTCAAGGTTACCGAAGTTGCAAGGGACAGAGTTGGAACTAGAAATCAAATTCAGCTCATTAATACCTATCACTAGTGCTTACTAGGGGGCATTTCGAATAGAATATTAGAAATCTCATCACATACAACTCAAACCAACCTATTTTTTCTTTGCTCAGGATGCTGTTGTGAAAACTGAGAAATCCCTATAGATTTTTCTTCCAGTAGCCTTATTTTAAATAATTATCCACACTTAGGTTATATATGTTAAGTACTGCCCATAAACTCCAAAAGTTGATTGCTATGAAAACCAAACAGGCATCCAGTAGTAATTGTGAAAATATAAGCAATTCTGTCCTATATACATGATTTTTTTTTTTTTTTTTGAGACAGAGTCTTGCACTGTTGCCCAGGCTGGAGTGCAGTGGCGCGATCTTGGCTCACTGCAACCTCCGCCTCCCGGGTTCAAGTGATTCTCCTGCCTCAGCCTTCCGAGTAGTTGGGACTACCCGAGTAGTTGGGACTACAGGTGCGCGCCACCATGGCTAGCTAATTTTTATATTTTTAGTAGAGACGGGGTTTCTCCATGTTAGCCAGGATGGTCTCGATCTCTTGATCTCGTGATCCACCCGCCTCAGCCTCCAAAGTGCTGGGATTACAGGCGTGAGCCACCGGCGCCCGGCCCTATACACATGATTTTGAACATACTGACAGATGGAGAAAACCACTTTGGAAAAGATACTTCACATGTTCTAGAGACGATTTAAACCATTAAGCATTCTATGAAGCTTCTGAAGGTCTGTCAGATTTTAAATGACAACAGTGAAATTTTAAAACAAGAACAGAAGTCAGCACCAAAGCTAGTTTAACATTAATAATAAGTGAGCCAATAAATAGGTCTATGTTTGCCCAGGCAGGTTTTGCTTATTATGTCAGTTGGAAAGCCAGAAGGAAACTGGTTTTAACTCTTAATATAACCTGTATCATGACACCATCACTTTACCAGAAATGTAGCTGATGTCAGCATAAGACTGAGACAGTTTACATTTAAAACTGTTGTTTCCTTTCCAACTATTTTCATAATTCATTCATGGTATAGGATTGAGACTATTTCCTTAAACAGAAAAAAATGGGTAATTAACATTGAGAACTTTCCATGTGCCAGATACTGTATGAACTGTCTTAATTTTCATAGCCACCCTGCAAGATATTATCCTCATCTTTTTAGAGGAAGAAACAAGTTTCAAGAAATGAAGTAGGTTTTCTAAGGCCACAGCTATAGTAAAGAGGTGGAGCTGACATTCAAGCTTGGATATGAATTATTATAATTTCCACAGCACTACACAGCTGTCATTTTCTCTACCTGCAAAACTAAATAAATACTGTTAAAAATAAAAGATGATCTCCAAGATCTCTAAACATTAAAATTTTACAATAAACTGGTTGAGGTGACACATGCCTATATTTTCAGCTACTCAGGAGTTTGAGACTGGCCTGGACAACATAGCAAGACCCTGTCTCTAAATTTAAAAAACAAATTACAATGAGATAATCTTAGACCAGAGAAAAGAAAGTGAAATAGCTATTTGGATTATAAACTGTTTTAGTAACTCAAATGTAATGTGTGGTGGTGACAATATCTTTGATTCCTGGGAAGGTCATTGTGAAAGGGAATAGAAAATGCCTTGAAGTCAAAATATAAGGCTCTCAAATAGAAAAATAAATATAACATTTAAGTATTATCAACAGAGAACCAAGTTAGAAAAAACTAGTTATAGTCTGAAACAATGCTGTTTAAAAGACTGCAGTCACCAGTGTAAACTGACTCAGGCAACACTTCCCAGGGTCCATGCCGTGGACAACTGACTAATCTCTCTATAAATACTAAAAGATAATAAGGTTCCATAACCAAACAAGATGGGGAAATGCTGGATTTAATGTCAAGCCTGTTTCCATACTGGTTATAGGCTTGAGAACCCTATGGAGCAAGTCTTTCTGGATTTGAATCCCAGCTCTTCCATTCTAGCTTAGCAGTGTAACTTAAATGAGATAGTTGCTGTAAAGACTGGAAACAATAATGCACGTGGGAGCCTTAGAACAGAGCCTTAGACAGTGCTCAATAAAGGTTAAATCATTAATAGTAACATCATTTCCCAGAGCCTTTATTAATCTAAGTTGAGGTTCATTGTGAATTACCAATGGGATAGAGTTTGCAGTTTCTCAAACTTATTGGATGATGGAACCCACTTTTTCATAGAATATCCCTCGAGAAAACTGGTTAATGTCTTTAAAACAAACAAAACTCTTCGAAACAATAGAGAATTCCATCACCAAAATAAAATGCTGTTTTTTGTTTTTTGGGGTTTTTTGAGACAGGGTTTCCCTCTGTTGCCCAGGTTGGAGCGCAGTGGCACAATCACAGCTCACTGCAGCCTCAACTTCCTGGGCTCAAGAGATCCTCCCACCTCAGCCTCTCAAGTAGCTGGGACTACAGGTGCATGCCACCATACCTGACTAATTTTTTGTATTTTTTGTAGAAACAAGGTTTTGCCATGTTGCCCAGGCTGGTTTCAAACTCCTGGGCTCAAGCCAGCTGCCCACCTCGGCCTCCCAAAGTGCTGGGATTATAGGCGTGAGCCACCACGCCCAGCCTAAAACGTTTTTAAAAACTGAATTTTTCTTCACTAAATTTTCCTTATCTCTTATCTGCTACCACCTGCCTTTGAGCAAAAGTTCTTTTTTGTTTAAGACTGAGTTTCACTCGTTGCCCAGGCTGGAGTGCAATGGTGCAATCTCGGCTCACCGAAACTTCCACCTCCCAGGTTCAAGCTATTCTCCTGCCTCAGCCTCCCGAGTAGCTGGGATTACAGGCATGCACCACCACGCCCAGCTAATTTTGTATTTTTAATAGGGATGGGGTTTCTCAATGTTGGTCAGGCTGGTCTCAAACTCCCGACCTCAGGTGATCCGCCCACCTCGGCCTCCCAAAGTGCTGGGATTACAGGCATGAGCCACCTTGCCCGGCCGCAGCTAAAGTTCTAACAGATGACACTCTCTGATGTTCACTAAAGACTTGGGAACGTTGTCTCTACTTCATAAACCCACTCCATAGCTGGATCCTGTACTCTGTCATAACCAGCAACTGCTCCTCCCGTTCAATCTTCAATTCCACTATCCAGTCTTGAACACCAACCACTTCATGTCCCAGCAGCCACCTTCTGGTTTCATTTGTTCCCTATTCAGCCTAGACTCAATGGCCCACCACTTCAAACACTCTCGCTACTGAAATATCTTGCCTCCTTACCCTCTCTGTCACACTGACACATAAAATCCAGGCCAAGATCAATCCAACTGTTCAATTGTGTGTTCACCCAGGCTGCTGAGCCCTGAGAGAAGGAGGAGATCATTCATACAAATATATATACCACAGCCGTGAAAAATCCATGATTCCATTTTTTCTAAGTATTCCCACTCAGCTTGCCCTCTCACCTCCCTCAGAGGCTTTCTTGAAATTCTCCTTTTCTCCTCAGTCCCCTACAATCATCATTTCCTCCCCACTATCTCAGTGGATGACCTTATCCCCCCTTCACTGAAAAAAATAAAGTGTTCATATCCCGAATTCTCACCTGCCACCCAAACACTTCCCCATCTGCACCATCTATTGTTCCTTTATTCCTACTTCAGTGGAAACTGTATTCTCATCTGTACTGCAACCCAGTATCTTCACTCCATTCCCACTAACCTCAAAGACAATGTACAATCATTCACACACACCTCCTTTATTCTACATCTTCAACTTCTCCCTTCCTTTTTCCTTTTTCCATTTAGCATATAAACATGCTGAAGTCTCTCTCATCTAAACACAGCCTGCCCCTCTACCTACTATCTTGTATCTCCCTATGAGCAAAGCTTCAAAAAGAGCAAAGCTTTCTGAAAAGAATGTTTGCACTTACTGTCTCCACTCTCAACAAATATCCACGCTTAGTCCTCAGCAACCTGGCATTTATTTCTATTATGGAGACTCCACTGAAGCTGTTCTACAGAAGGTGGCAATCAGCTGCTTAACACCAAAATCAAGGGACACTTCCCTGTCCTCATATTCATTCAACTGTGGGCTACATTTGACATTGCAGATGGCTCTTAAAATTTTTATCTTCATTTAATAAATATTTACTGAAAGCTACTTTGTTGATAAGAACTTCAGATAAAATGATGAACATGACACAGTCACAAGCCCTCAAGAAGCTTAAAGTTTCTATGATAATTCCTACTCCTCCTTCCACCTCTCAGATCACTCCTTCCTTCTCTACTCAACCTTTAGAGCTGATATTCCCCCAGGATTCCTTTCTTTGCTCTTCTCACATCCATCCCAGGATTAATGTGTTTACATTACCTATTCATTGATGTTGACGAAATTTTTATCACTAGCTTAGAATTCTTGACCTTTCATCCTCCTCAAACTGTCGTCTCAATTTTTTGTCCTCTTCCAAGTAAAACTTTCAGAAAACTATCTTTGTGCACTCCACTTCCTCATATCCAATTCACGTTTTAACCCATGACAATCTGAACGTTTTAACCCATGACAACCCACTACACTGAAACTCCTCTTACAACGTCACCACTACCTCATGATGTTAAAAGGACGTGCTTATCATTATTCAAACTTTCAGGGCATTCCCAACAGAACTGACCCACTCCACTATCTAACCTGTACATGTGAAATTTGGCACAGCTGTATACTGGACCCTATTCTATTTCCCACACTCTATCTCTAGGTGTTCCTACCCATTCCCATTGTTTTAAATATGACTTATGCTGGGCTCAGTAGCTCACACCTGTAATCCAAACACTTTGGGAGGCCGAGGCAGGAGGATCACCTAAGGTCGGGAGTTCGAGACCAGCCTGGCCAGCATGGTGAAACCCCCGTCTCTACTAAAAATACAAAAATTAGCTGGGCATGGTGGCCCGTGCCTGTAATACCAGCTACTCTGGAGGCTGAGGTAGGAGAATCACTTGACCCCGGAGGCGGAGGTTGCAGTGAGCCAAGATCGCACCACTGCACTCCAGCCTGGGCGACAGAGCACGACTCTGTCTCAAAATAAATAAATAAATAAATATGACTTATAACTCTGGTCCACATCTTTCCTGAGCTCTAGCTTCATTTACTCAACTCTCCACTTGGCAACCCCATTTGGACAAACTCAGTTTATCCAAAATGTTTCCCACTAAGTCTCTTCCAGAACTACTGGAGTTATTAAAGCCAGAAACAAAGAGCCACACATGACTACTTACTTTTCCTCACCTCTCATATCAAACTATCTCCAAAATATATTTTGGCTATTCAGTTATCTTCAACTCACTACTATGTCATAATATAGCTATTGTTATTTCTTCCCTAGAGTACTGACTGGTTTTTTGTTTGTTTGTTTTTGTTTTTTTGAGACTGAGTCTTGCTCTGTCGCCCAGGCTGGAGTGCAGTGGCGCAATCTCGGCTCACTGCAACCTCCACCTCCCGAGTTCAAGTGATTCTCCTGCCTCAATCTCCTGAGTAGCTGGGATTACAGGCACCCACGACCATGCCTGGCTAATCTTTGTATTTTTAGTAGATAAGGGGTTTCACCATGTTGGCCAGGCTGGTCTCGAACTCCTAACCTCAGATGATCTACCTGCCTTGGCCTCCCAAAGTGCTGGGATTATAGGCGTGAGCCACTGCACACGGGCTTGACTGACTTTCTAACCAAGTTCACCAATGTCACCTTGTCCCTACCAATCCAGTCTCCAGGAGAAAGCTAAAGTGATCTTTATAAATATAATATAAAATCGCTTTCTCAGCCTTTTGGCTAAGATCAAGTGTAAATATAATATAAATATAAATTGAAACACATCACTCACTATTTAAAACCCTTCAATTGATATGCTGGGAATCTAATATTAAGGTAGTAACAGAGTATTCTCTTTCCCACAAACAGAATGTTGCTCCAGTTCTCTGGCAACTCATTCTGTGGGTCAGTGGCATTCAACTACTTCAGTACAAAGACAAATATAAGACACAGAAGTTAACTGGGTTAACTAAAGGTTACTAAACCTTTACCAAACCTTACTAAAAGTTACTAATTATTTAATTCCAAAGCAAATACCATAATTTATCTTTTTTTTTTTCAAGACAGTCTCGTTCTGTTGACCATGCTGGAGGGCAGTGGTGTGATCTTGGCTCACTGCAACCTCCACCTCCTGGATTCAAATAATTCTTGTGCCTCAGCCTCCCCAGTAGCTGGGATGACAGGCATGTACCAACACGCCCAGCCAGTTTTTGTTTTTTTAATAGAGATGGGTTTTCACCATGTTGGCCAGGCTGTTCTCGAACTCCTGGCCTCAAGTGATCCACTCGCCTCGGCCTCCCAAAGCCTGGGATTACAGGCTTCAGCCACTGCACTTGGCCTATACTTTTTTTTAATTGACATAGCATACAATTTACCATTTCAAAGTATACAATTCAGTAGTTTTAGTGTATTCACATTTTGCAACCATCTACACTAATTCCAGAACATTTCTATCACCTAAAAAGAACCCCATACCTATTAACAGTCATTCCCAATTGCCTCCCTCCCCATCTCCTAGAAACCATTTATCTCTTTTCTATCTCTATGGATTTCCTGTTCTAAACATTTCATATAAGTGGGATCATACAATATGTGATCTTTCGTGGCTTCTTTCACTCAGCATAATGTTTTTAAGGTTTATCCATGTTGCAGCATGAATCTGTACTTCACTCCTTCTTGTGGCTGAATTGTATGGATGGACCACATACTGGTTTTTGTTTTTGTTTTGTTTTGTTTTTTGAGACAAAGTTTCGCTCTTATTGACCAGGTTGGAGTGCAATGGCATGATCTCGGCTCACTGCAACCTCTACCTCCCAGGTTCAAGCGATTCTCCTGCCTCAGCCTCCCAAGTAGCTGGAATTACAGGCATGAGCCACCATGTTCGGCTAATTTTGTATTTTTAGTAGAGATGGGGTTTCTCCATGTTGGTCAGGTGGTCTTCTACTTCCAACCTCAGGTGATCCACCTGCCTCGGCCTCCCAAAGTGCTGGGATTTCAGGTGTGAGCCACCACACCCGGCTGGACCACATATTGTTTATCCATTCATCAGCTGATCTACATTTAGGTTGTTCCCACTCTTTTACAATTATGAATATTGCTGCTATTAACACTCATGTACAAGTATTTGTATGGACATATGTAGTCATTTCTCTTGGGATGACCTAGGAATGGAACTGCTGTGTCATATGGCAACTGTATGTTTAACTTTTTGAGGAACTGCCAGACTGTTTCCCATAGTATCTGTATCATTTTACATCCCTATCAGTAAGGA